>NC_000013.11:18171248-18358106 GCF_000001405.40 Homo sapiens | reverse complement strand
GAATTCTGGAAAAAGAGAGGGAATTGTTATCAATAATATAGTTCAAGAACATTTCCTACCACTGAAGGATATAAGACAGCAGACTGAAAGAGACCACTCAGTGCCTAACGAAACAGATTTTAAATATCAAAAATAGACAAAAACAGACGTTATCCTCATGAAATTTTAGAACACTGAGGACAAAGAATTTCCTAAAATCTTAAGAGCTTCCAAGAAAACACAGGTCACATAGAAAAAACCGAGTTCTTCATATACTAGAAACTAAAAGACAGTGGATCAATTGACTAAAAATGATAAATGAAAATGTATTTCCAACCTGGAAAAGATGAGTCAGGTAGGAAGGTAAAATAAAGACATTTTCAGAAGTATATAATGCTCAAAACTTACCTTCCACACATTCTCTGTCAGGGAGCTATGGAAGATACGTTCCACCCAAATTGAGGGAAGAAATAAAGAGAAATTCATGAAATTGCAGAAAACACATGTAACACAGGAGAGAACAGAAGATGATCTCCAGGATGATGAAGAGGAAATCCCCAAGTTAATCATATGTAATGGTTTGTGGCCAAGGATAGCACTGGATCTAGCACAAAGGCCACCTTTCACCTGAAACAATGCACACAAGGACAGTAAAAACCAAGAGAGCACTTTTATTGATGAGGTTCACAGTGACACCAGTAAGCATACATGTTGAGACAAATGGCATAAAGTAGCACATACAGTGCCCTAACACAAGTGGTATCACTGTAGGCTAAAGTCTCTTCTAACCAACATCTTCACAAGGGCCTTCTGATTCCCACAGGCTGAAATAAAGAAAAAGACTGTTATCGGCCAGGCACGGTGGCTCATGCCTCTCCAGCACTTTGGGAGGCTGAGGCGGGTGGATCACGAGGTCAGGAGATAGAGACCATCCTGGCTAACACGGTGAAAACCTGTCTCTACTAAAAATACAAAAAATTAGCCGGGCGTGGTGGCGGGTGCCTGTAGTCCCAGCTACTCCAGAGGCTGAGGCAAGAGAATGGCGTGAACTTGGGAGGCAGAGCTTGCAGTGAGCCGAGATTGCGCCACTACACTCCAGCCTGGGCGACAAAGCAAGACTCCATCAAAAGAAACGAAGAAAAGAGAAGAGAAGAGACGAGACGAGGACAGAAAGAAAGACAGAAAGAAAAGAAAAGAAAAGAAAAAGAGAAAAAGACCGTTATCACCCAAATATGAGAAATTCTCCCATATATACATACTTGTATCTAGATGACTAATCTCTGGAAAGTTATAAGAAAACACTGGTTCTTTCCAAGGAAGGGATGGCCAAAAGGTAGGCTAACTTAACATTGTTCACTCTTTTTAAGACCTTTGTATTTCTTGTATCATGCACAGGTATTGCCTATTCAAAAACAAACCTACAACAGGGAAAGACTGAAAGCTTTTCTTCAATATCTGCTACAAGGCAAGGATGCCTACTCTTAACACTTATATTCACCATAGTCCTAGCCAGAGCAATCACATAAGAAAAGGAAATAAAAGGCAGCAGAAAAAAGGGGGTAAAATTATCCCTGTGTGCAGATGACATGATCCTGTATGTAGAAACCCCTAAAAATTCCACAGTTACTAGAATAAATGAATTCAGTCAAGTAGCAGGATACAAAATCAATATACAAAAATCAGATGCATTTCTTTATACAAATAATGATCTGAAAAAAAATCAAGAAAACATTTCCACTTAAAATAACATCAAAAAGAATAAAACACTGAGGAACAAATTTAATGAAGGAAGTGAAAACTTTATATACTAAACACTATAAAATACTGACAAAGTAAACTGAAGACACACAGCCGGGCATGGTGGCTCACACCTGTAATCCCAGCATTTTGGGAGGCCAAGGCGGGTAGATCACCTGAAGTCAGGAGTTCAAGACCAGCCTGGCCAACATGGCGAAACCCTGTCTCTACTAAAAATACAAAAATTGGCCAGGCGGGCATGATGGCAGGCACCTGTAATCCCAGCTACTTGGGGGGCTGAGGCAGCAGAATTGCTTGAACCCAGGAGGCGGCGGAGGTTGCAGTGAGCTGAGATCACACCACTGCACTTCTGCCTGGGCAACACAGCGTGACTCTGTCTCAAAAAACAGAAAAAAACTAAAGACACAAATAAATATAACGATATCCCCAAGTTTGTGGATTGGAAGAAAATTGTTAAAATGTCCATACTATCCAAAGTGATCTAGAGATTCAATGCAATCCCTATCAAATTTCCAAAGGCATTTTTCACAAAAATAGAAAACACAATTCTAAAATTTGTATTAAATCATAAAAGACCCTGAATAGCCAAAAGAATCTTGAGAAAGAAAAACAAAGTAGAAGGTATCACACTACCTGATTTCAACTTATATTACAAAGTGATAGTTATCAAAACGTATGGTACTGGCATAAAAGCAGACACATGGATCAATGGAACTGAATACAGAGCCCAAAAATAAACCCAAACATATATTATGAGCTAATTTTTGACAAGTCCAATAAGATACAATAGGGAAAAGATGGTGTCTTCAATAAGTAGTGGTAAGAAAACTAGATATCTATATGCAAAAGAATGAAACTGGACCTGATGCCTGTCTTACACATCATACATAAAAAGCAACTCAAAATAGATTAAATACCTAACACCTGAAACCATAAAACTCCTAGAAGGAAATATAGGAGAAAAACTCCTTAATATCCTCCTTGACAATGATTTTTTGGATATCACACCAAAAGCTCAGGTAGCAAAAGCAAAATTAAGCAAGTGGGACTACATCAAGCAAATAAGCTTCTGCATAGCAATAAAAAAAAACCAAACGGGGTAAAAAGGTAGCACAGGGATTAGGGGAAAATATTGGCAAACCACACATCTGATAAGGCGTTAAAATCCAAAACATATAAGGAACTCACACAACTCAGTAGCAAAAAAAAAACCCCAAATAACTGGATTTTAAAATAGGCAAGGACCTGAATAGCCATTTTTCCAAAGTCACACAAATGGTCAAATGGTATATGAAAAGATGCTCAACATCATAATCATGAGGAAAATGAAAATTAAAACCACAATAGATATCATCTCGTGTCTCTTAGAATGACTATTAACAAAAAGGCAAAGACATAAGTGTTGGTGAGGATGTGTAGAAAATGAAACCTTTGTACATGGTTGATAGGAATGTAAATTAGTATAGCCATTATTGAAAACAGTATAGAGTTTCCTTAAAAAAAATACAACTACCATAAGATCCAACAATGCCCCTGTTGGGCATATATTCAAAGGTAATAAAATCAGCATCTGAGAGAGACATCTGCACTCCCACGTTCATGGCGGCATTACTCCCAATAGCCAAGATATGGAAACAAACTAAGTGTCCTAATGGACAATTTACTTACCCATTCAAGGACAGATGAATGGATAAAGAAATTGTGACGTGTGTATACACATATATTAAGTCCTCCCTTAATGTCATCAATAGGTTCTTGGGAACTGAGACGTTAAGCTAAATGAACATACAGCAGGTCCTCAAGTAACACTGTTTCCTTCAATCTAATTTTGGCATAATGCAAAATGAAAAAAAAATCAGTTTTGTCATACTTTTTTTTCGCCTCTTAACCACAGTTTCTAAGAACTTACTGATGACAATGAGGACTTTATACAATGGGATAGTTAGCTTTAAGAAAGGAGATACTGCCATTTGTGACAACATGGATGAACTGGGAGGAAAGTATGCTAAATAAAGTAAGCCAGACACAGAAAAATACTGTATGATCTCACTTAAGAAGCAGAATGGGAGGCAGCGGGGTGAGAAACTGAATGTATAGAGAGTAGAATGGTGGTTATCAAGGGTCTGGAGGTAGGGGATGGGTAGGATGGGCAGAAGTGGGTCAGAGGGTACAAATCTGCAGTTAGGTAAGATGAATAATTCTAGAGATCAAATTAATACACAGCATGAGAACCATAGTTAATAATATTGTGTACTGAAAATTTGCTGAAAGAGATTTTAGGTGTACACACACAGAGAGTAACTATGGAAGGTGAAGGATACAGACATTTGTTTGACCATAGTAATCATTTCACTATGTATACAAAGCATGTTGTATACCTCAGATATGTATAATAAAAATAAATGAAAAAAAAAAAAAACTGTATCCTACCTGCCAAAAACAGTTTCAAATGCATTATGTCTTTGGATTTAGCAAGGAATTCACCTTTGCAGGCCCACTTACATACAACATTATAAATATACCAGGTGATTCATTGTACTATTCACAGTAAAAGATTGAAAGAAAGTCGGGCGCGGTGGCTCACGCCTGTAATCCCAGCACTTTGGGAGGCCGAGGCGGGCAGATCACGAGGTCAGGAGATAGAGACCATCCTGACTAACATGGTGAAACCCCGTCTCACTAAAAATACAAAAAAATTAGCCGGGCGTGGTGGCGGGCGCCTGTAGTCCCAGCTACTCGGGAGGCTGAGGCAGGAGAATGGCGTGAACCCAGGAGGCGGAGCTTGCAGTGAGCGAAGATCGTGCCACTGCACTCCAGACTGGGCGACAGAGCGAGACTCTGTCTCAAAAAAAAAAAAAAAAAATTGAAAGAAACCCAAAGGTCTATCAACAGGGGAAAGAACAGGTAAATTAAATTGCTTATATTTCCATACAAAGGAATATTTGCAGCCATAAAAAAATGAAGGACAGTAAAAAGTAGTAAGACAAAAGGAACAAAATATATATATACACACACACACAAAATATATATATATATACACACACATTTCCTTGTACATGCATAAAATACATCTGGAAGGTTACACGAAAAACCTCTGAGGTTTCTGGAGATGTAAACTGGGGGCATGAAGGCAGGGGAAAGGGAGAGACTTCACTGTTTACCTTTTTATTATTTTCCAATTTTAAATCATTTGAATGTATAACTTGTCTAAAAATCAAATTTTAAAAGTTGAGGGAATTAACATTACAGAAAGTAACAAACCTCAAGGAAGCAGCCACCTTCACCAGATGGACAGTCTACCTCACTCTTCCCACGCTCCAGTAGTTACTGAATGCCAGTCCCCTCCCTCCATTCAGTCTGCCCCACCTGCTGGCCTTCTAGAGCCTCAGTGCAGTCCTATTCCTACACCTCCAAACACATCCATACACTGTGATGGTCGATCTGCGACCACCAGTTGAGAGGAAATGTGTTGTGTTTCCACACTTCAGACAAACAGAGTGTTATTTTATTGAGGTTTGGGATTTTTTTCTTGCATTAACAGGGTTTCTAGATCCCAGTAGGTGAATGAGAAAGAAGTATGCTTTTATTGCGTAAGGAATTTGTTTCTGATACACCAAAGTGATAATGTATGACTTTTCTTAAAGAAGTGGTTATTAGAAGAGTTAAAAATCAATAGAAACAAAAAGTCATAGGTATTGTTCCAATACTCCAGGAACATCACAATTTGGATTCTGTAGATGTGTGTAATATAATGTGTAATATTACATTCTGACAACCTCAAGTTGAAAACTGCACAGCTGAAGATCACTTATAGTCAATAACACTTTTCAAACTTTAATTTTAAATTCATCAAGTCTCTCCCTAATGTAACATACTTTTTAATAAAGGAAACTGTCAGAGATGCTATAATACAGAGGAAAACGTTTATATACTCTTTCATTATAATTTTTCCACAACTTCCAAAATGAAGAAAAAGACATGGAAACATTAAGTTCAGAGAATAATTGTGGCAGACAATTCCCTCCTCCTGAAAGTTCAGTTACCCCAACACAGGCATAATTTCTTACTGTCTCAAAAGGAACTGAATTCACATATAAAGACAAACGTGGGATTTTGTTGAGTTCTGTTGGACACAGAACACAATTGCTCAAGCACTGGTTGGGCACTTGTATTCTAATAGCTCACGGTTACTGAGCACTCCATGTCTGGGAAGAGCCAGTGCTGGGTGCCTGGCATGCATCCTTGCACCTCATCAGCACAACTATCCTATGGGCTCATCCTGGTTCACCTATTTTATAAATGAGAACACTAACATCAGAGAAGTTAAAAAATTTGCCTAAAAACATCCAGAGTAGGTTTCATCGTTGCCCACTACTTTATAATGCTTTCCCAAGGGTACTGAGACGTTATCAAAACATGTTAGTGAAACAGTCTAAAACATCACAAATTTTAGGTTTAATACAAAATACCCAGAAAATGGCAGCATTATTAGAAATCTCAGCATAATGTAATAATAAGAACTTATGATGATTGTATTCTTTTCCTATTTTTTCTCCCGTACAGGCATATGAAAAACCATAAAACTTATTTTAGGGGTGTGTGTGTCCATGTAGTTTCAGGATAATATAGTAATCTAAAACATTTTTAATATGGCAAAGTGTGGCAATACTAAATTTTTAAAAAGGATTTTTATTTAGCAAACAGAAAGCAAAAATGTTGTCCAAGAAACATGCATTTATTTTATCCCTAGGAATGTACCTTTCCTTCTGCAAAGGATGTGAGATCCTGGCATGCAAATGAACATGAGGATACAGTATATTCAATTCCTTAAATTCTAAAATTGTCTTAGCATTTAACATCCAACACACTAAACAATCTTTTTTCATATTCAATAAAAATAAGGACAAATTCAGTAAATTCAGATGGGCTATTTTATCACGTAAATTTTAAAAAAGCAAGGGTAATTTTTCAACTGATTTTCTTTTACCCTGATACGAGTCAATGAGAAAATATGAAATTGAAACATATCACCATTTCTCAGTGTTTACAAGTGGTAAGTCACAAGGAAAACCTTCCAAGGTCTTCTGTGTTGTTTTTAAAAGGTATTATAATCACATAATTTGGGAAACAATGTGTACTATTATCAAGAAACCTTTCATATTTTGTGAAATGAAGCACTTCCCAAATTTAAGAGACTATGGAAACCTTTTTCAGACATTTTTTAACATCCTCAGAAGTGGAAATTCTTGTTAATGCTGATCTGATCAATTCCTCCAAGTATATGGACTACTTCTTTGCAAACTCCAAGCCCCCAAATCAAATTACCTGTTCAACTGTATCTGAAAATCAGTTACATAAAAGCATCAGAAAGTGTTTCTCCCAGCAACATAGACCCAAAACACACTACAAAACAAAAATTATCAAGAACATACAAAAGACATATTTTTTCATGTATTTATTTATTTTTTGAGATGGAGTCTCACTCTGTCACCAGGCTGGAGTGCAGTGGCTCGATCTTGGCTCACTGCAACCTCTGCCTCCTGGGTTCAAGCAATCCTCTGCCTCTGCCTCCCAAATAGCTGGGATTACAGGTGCCTGCCACCACGCCCAGCTAATTTTTGTATTTTTAGTAAAGACGAGGTTTCACCATGTTGGCCAGGATGGTCTTCATCTCCTGACCTCAGGTGATCCACCCACCTTGGCCTCCCAAAGTGCTGGGATTACAGGCATGAGCCACCAAGCCCGGCCACAAAAGACATACCTTTTCAAAGCCACTATTACCTCTCACCTGGACCATTATTTCTCACTGATCTACCTGTCATAACTCTTGCACCTAATCATCTACTTATATCATAGGAGAGTGTTCCTCTTAAAATATAAATAAGATCATGGTGTTCTTCTTTTCAGGAACATTCAATGGCCTCTCATTCCATTGCTATTAAGCACAAACTACTGACACACCACCTTATGGTTGTGTGAGATATACTGAGCCGTCCTTCTTGTCCTCACATCTCTAATCTTCTCACCTTCTGACTGTCCCCTCTGCTCACTCTGTTGGTCTCCACAACACTCTTCAAACATGCTCAGCACACTCTCACCCAGAGCCTTTACACTGGCTTCCTCACTGTCTGGGATGCTCTTCTCTCAGGTAATCAAGTGGCTCACTCACTCACCTCTTTAAAATCTGTGCATATGGACCCTAAACACCCATCTGTACTTCCAATTCCTTTTTTTTTTTGGAGACAGAGTCTTTCTCTGTCACCCACGCTGGAGTGCAGTGGTGCAATCTCGGCTCACTCTAACCTCCACCTCCCAGGTTCAAGCAATTCTCCTGCCTTGGCCTCCCAAGTAGCTGGGATTACAGGTGCATGCCACTGAGCCCGGCTAATTTTTGTATTTTTAGCAGAGAACGGGTTTCACCATGTTGGCCAGTCTGGTCTCGAACTCCTGACCTCAAGTGATCTACCTACCTTGGCCTCCCAAAGTGCTGAGATTACAGGCATGAGCCACTGTGCCTGGCCAGGCAATTCCTCTTTATCAAACTTTATATTTACCATGGGCCTTGCCAAACACATTATAATTAACTGATTTTTTTTAAAAGTTGGGTTACCTAACATTAAAATATAAACTCTATGCAGAGAATTCTACCTGCTTTGTACACTGATATGATTTCCAACATCTGACATACAGTAGGTATTCAATTAATTCTATTGTCTCAAAGCCGGCTGCAGTGGCGCATGCCTATAGTACCTGCTACTTGAGAGGCTGAGGCAGGAGGATCACTTGAGCCCAGGAATTGGAAACCAGCCTGGGCAATGTAACAAGACACTGCCCCTTAAAAAAAAAAACTATGAAATAAAATGTAATGGAACAGAAATAATTATCGCTTCATTTCTGAATCAGTTGAAAATAAATAACCGCCCCAAAAATGAGCAAACCTACAGTAATCCTCTTTAACTCATATTGGATTTTAGGTTACTATTAAAATATTTTGCTATCTCAAGAATTCAGCAGGCTGAGCAGAGCAGATGGCTTGAGCCCAGGAGTTCAAGACCAGTCTTGGCAAAATGGCAAAACCCCATCTCTACAAAAAAATACAAAAATTAGCCAGGCGTGGTGGCCCACATCCATGGTCCCAGCTACTCAGGAGGCTGAGGTAGGAGGGTCGCATGAACCCAGTAGGCAGAGGTTGTAGTAAGCCAAGATCATGCCACTGCACTCTAACCTGGGCAACAGAGCAAGACCCTGTCTCCCAACCAAAAAAAAAAAAAAAAAAAAAAGAATTCAGCTGGAAAAACCTTATATTTACTTTGATTAAGAAAATGTTTTTAAACCAATACTTTATGATGCACACTGGTGAATATGAAGTTATACCTGAAGTAATATTAAATGACAGCTTTTCCATTTCTAGAATGTATGCATCAACTACCTTAACTTAAACATGGTATTATCCAAGCTCACAGTATCTGAGAAGGTTTGTGTCATTATCTAGCAAACTAAAGTCAAGCCCTCTGTAGTTCCCCACCTGTGATCTTCAAAGATATGGTGCTCCTTGAGATTTCTGTAAGGTAGGTCTGTTCTAAAATGTGTGAAAGGAAGAGAACCCGAAAAGGCAAGGTCTAAGAAGATCACTCATTTGGAGATGGCAAGGGTCACATCGGGGTTATCTAAGTCAGTGTGATTTACCCTTTGGTAAATCATACACATATTTCAAAAGTTACTTTATATGCTGTAATTCTTGCACTAATTTCATGGAAAATAAATTAGTATTACCTCGACTATCATCCATATCACCATCCCTTGAATGTTCTGATTGGATGTCTGGAGGGGTCTGAAGGACGGCCACGCTATTCTGATTTATAATCTTCAATTTCAGTTTTGGTTTTGACAGTTTTCTTCTTGGAACTGTAACTGTGAGGCTCTGTAACTGAGTCATCCCTGATTCAATCAAACACACATCATCCTGGGTATAAGTCTTGGGTGGGTCTAAAATTACAAAATCCCAAGAATACAAATTTAAACTTTCATTTTAAATTTGACTGATTACTGTTCCAAAATACCCATGTCAAGGGAATGTGACTGTAGTTCTAGAAAACAATTATGTATCTATGAAATGCATGAATAATTAACTTCATGATACCCAATAAAAACTAGGAACAATAGGTCAAACTTCCTTGGATTATGGGCAGAAATGTTACATGTTTTTAAAAAATGGTCTTCCTGAGCTGGGTGCGGGGGCTCATGCCTGTAATCCCAGCACTCTGGGAGGCCGAGGTGGCAGGCAGATCACGAGGTCAGGAGATCGAGACCATCCTGGCTAACACAGTGAAACTCTGTCTCTTCTAAAAATACAAAAAATTAGCCGGGCGTGGTGGCGGGCACCTGTAATCCCAGCTATGCGGGAGGCTGAGGCAGGAGAATTGCTTGAACCCGGGAGGCGGAGGTTGCAGTGAGCCAAGATCGTGCCACTGCACTCCAGCCTGGGCGACAGGGCGAGACTCCGTCTCAAAAAAGTCTTCCTGGCATTTCTTTTTTCATGTCCCAATAAAAAGAGTTAGAAGCACTGCAAATAAATGCAATGCTCAGCTAATCCACTATGAGCTTTTTCCTGGAAAAGATCAAAAGGCAGGGATCTATTTACACAAGAGGAGAGAGAATACTCCAGAAGCTCATCTGGAAAAATCAGAGTATCAACATAATTACTAACAGGGAGAAGTAATAAATAAGTACAAATCCTGCAGATTTAATTTTAAACATACAAAACTGTTGTTCCTTAGAACAATTCCTGTACTATCCAAATGTTTTTGTATCAGGTGCTATTAAATACAAGTATTCAAAAGAATGACTGTTTAATAAGAATATCATATTAATCACCATACTAGGCTTATTAATTATTTTAAAAAATTAAGCGATTGAATTAATTCTAAAAGAAATCTGCTTGCTAACTAGGCCGTATTTTCTGCTAACTGATAATTAAGCACAGTAATATATCAATGAAACCAAAGCAAGTATGGCATTAATGGTTATTCTAAGAGCTGTTATTTTTATTGCCAACTTGCTGAAATTTATAGGAATACTGCCCCAGTAAAGCTGGATGACATTTTATATATCATTGTGGAAATGATTACCAACATTATGGAATTTGGATAGAACACCCATATGATTGAAGCAGATTTTAGAAGTGGTAAGCCAATTATGTAAAAATTAAGCAAAGTAAATTAATTAAATTAAGTAAAGCATTTCAAATTTTACCTAGCTTTTTTACTTTTGTGACAATTTGTGCTACAAGTGAAGATCCACAGCAGTCTGAGGAAGGCACTGAAATGAAAAAAAAAAAAAATCCAGGTAATTCTTTTCAGAAAAGGTAAAGTGTATTTACATACTTATATATGATTAAAATTTCTGTTTCTATACTCATTTTATTAAAATAAATGTTTGAACACTAAAGTTAAAAGCACTTTTTAAAGCAACAACAAAACAAGAAGTGATGAAGGAAATACTCAAGTCATGGAGGAAAACCTGGCTAAGAAAGAATCAACACATTGGATTTTGACATATTGTCAATAACTACAAGATCATGTTCCTTGGAAGCAAAATTATAGTTTACATCTAAAGTATATGCTTTTTATTGTTTCATGTAAATTGTTTTATAACAAGTTGTGATAAGTCATGTATAACCAACAATAATATTTTTCATAAAATACTTGTCAAAGTAAGTTTCACAAAGACAAAATAGAGTAGAGCTAAGCTAATTCATTGGTTATGGACAGTAAGGTGCAAGAGAGTGGTACAAGAGTGCAGACTCACAGTTTAAATTATTCTGTTACCATTAGATGCAGGCATATAGGGTCTGCACATGTTACAATCAAAACCAATGTCTGCTACATTTTCCACTTCTTCCTCAGTATTTAAGTTCTGACGAACTGCATGCATCCATCTAAAAAGACCATATTTGTACATTTTTTTTAAAAAATGGAATATACTGAGAACTGCTACCTTTTAAAACCTGTAACACTGAGTCTTCAAACTTAAAAGCCCTAAGCCTCACATGCTCCTCCTACCTTGCCCTTTTCTCCTAACTATCCCTAGTAACAGAAAAACTTTCATAGAGCTAAGGAGGAAATAAAAAGGAATGAGAACAACTATTAGAGAGGAAGCAAAGCACATTACATAAGGAAGCTAATTATTTTATCATCATATATTAAATATTTCAAAGACAGCAAGGAAGCTAGTTAGGGCAAACACAAAGGTATTCAGAAAACGGCAAATGGCAGTGCTAGCATATATGGGCTCCAGGCAATGCATCTCACTTGAAGTAGACATATCTCATGGAAAGCGATGTTGAATGGTAATTGGGAAATAAAGTAAAAAGTTGTCTTGCAATGGAACAAATAATTAGTAGCCAGAGTCCCAAGAATACTGTACTACTGATAAAATAATACTATCAATATATGTTCACTGCTTAACTTCTAAAGAGTACAACAATATACCAATGAAAGCAAGGAAACATTCTTGATTTTGAAATTCCACATAATTACGTAGGGAGGGCAGAAGGTGCTATCTAATACCTAGATATCTAGTATCTAGAGCTTTAAGAGAAAGTGGTTTAAGGAGAACAGAAAGTGTTAGATATTTTTATAATCAATTAAAAGATTCAGAAACCCTTCATAAGAAACGGCATAGATGAAGGCAATAATTCTCCATCTAATTTCAAGGGATTCCTAAACCCTCAAAAAGGCCTAAATTAAAAATCTTTAGTCTTGGGTGGACACAGTGGCTCACGCCTATAATCATAAAACTTTGGGAGGCTGAGGCGGGCAGATCACAAGGTCAAAAGATGGAGACCATCCTGGCCACCATGGTGAAACCCTGTCTCTACTAAAAATACAAAAATTAGCTGGGCATGGTGGCATGCACCTGTAGTCCCAGCTACTCCGGAGGCTGAGGCAGGAGAATCGCTTGAACCCAGGAGGTGGAGGTGGAGTTTGCAGTGAGCCAAGATAGCGCTGCTGCACTCCAGCCTGGCGACAGAACAAGACTCTGTCTCTAAATTTAAAAACAAAACAAAACAAAACAAAACAAAACTTTAGTCTGGAGTTGAGAATTCAAAACAGGAAATCAATTCTGTAAGATTCTAGGTGACTAAAAATCTACAAGGCAAAAAGTTCTGTACCTAAAACTTGTGATTAAGGAAAAGCTATTTTCCTTTTTTTTTTTTTTTTGCTACATTTCAAAGAGAAAAGCTTTAAAAAGATGAAAAAATAGCACAATATCTATCACATTGTCTACATTGCAGAATAAGATCTTCTTCTCTATAGTTTCAATAGCAGACTGGACAGGAAGATAAGCTTGCACAAGGAGCGCACTGTGTGTAATTGTTCTGCCATTCACATCTTAGACCTGCAGATGTTGCTCCACAGTGTCTGCACCAAACACACCTGAAATCCAAATCCCCCCGAAAAGTCTCCATTTTATTTTCTTAGTTATTCAGTAACTGTAATTCAGGAAGCTACATACGAACATAATGGGGCAAATGATTTAATGTGTATGTGAAAATTTTTCTGCTTAGTGGTATGTATCATAGAATATGTGTATTATTCAATTAAATAGGTATGGCTAATTTTTAAAAACTAAAGTGGTATGAGAAAGCTCTGAACTTGAAAGACTAACAAGGCAAACAAACCCTAGAGAACCATTTGCACTTCACTTCCAGCCTCCTTTGGGAACTGTCTGCAATGGAGGGTCTAGGCAGTAGGTGTGATAACTTATGTCACAATCATCACACAGCAGGAGTCTTCCTGGGTCAGTTGCCTTCCCACAGGCCTCACAAACAGTGCACTCAAGACACCTCCAACCTTTGCTAAGAACCACTTTAGTGATCTGTAAAAGAAACAACCAATCCATGTGATTTATGCATTAACCTAACATAATCAAATATACTATATAAATTAATATGGTGCTTATGTACCTAGAAGCAGAAAGGGGCAATCAACTAACATTTATTGAGCACCTACGGAGGCCCAATACTGGGTTGGGCATGTTCATACACGCTTTTAGGAGCCTACTGAGCAGAGTAATAGACAATGGCACATATTTTAATGCCTTTTTAAAGTCCACATAATTACCTTATGCTGTACATTTAATGTCCACTATATTTATAGATATAGTGACCAGATTTTAAAGAAATCAAGTAAGCTTCACTATTATTGATACATAATTGAAAATACATCAACAAAATCTCCATCTACATTTCCATGCTTAGAATCAATAGAAAAAATACCAAAAAAAATTAATGTAAAGCATGAGTTCTTAGGGACATTTTATGATCTTAGAGGATTTCTATTTAGACTATGAAGCTAGGAATTCTGAAGTTCACATTCACCCCTCTGTTTATTCTCCCCTCTCTCAAGGGTATAAGTTAGCAGAATATTTGGGAATCTCCAAATCCCTAACAAACAACTGAAGGAAGCCACACCATGTAATATTAAGATTGCGGAACTTCTTAAAGATCTCAAAAGACTAGGATCCTCAGACAGAACCAATCAAGTGCCCACATTATAATGAAACAGCAAGTAATGAGGGTACAGAATAAAAATTCAGATCATGAGGTACATGAAAGCCTAAAAGCTACCAGAGAAGAAAATAAAAGAGTTAAATTCAAAGGAACACCCATCAGAATGGCACAAAACTTCCCAACTCCAGATGCTAGAAGAGTATAAGTTTCCAATTCTACAGGAAAATACTTTTCAAAGTACAATTCTCAACCTAGCTACACAAGCAACTATGTGTGAAGACAGAATACGTTGTAGACACAGGAAGATTCAAAATTCAGCTCCTTCATTCTCCTTCTAATAAAGTTACTTAGAGATATGCGGAACAGAATGAAGATGTATTACAAAGAAAAGGAAGACTTGGGATCTATAAATCAACAGATCCAACAAAGGACATCAGGCCAGGGAAGTTTAAGGATGAGAACAACACACCCAGAAGCCACTGGCACATATCAGAGCAGGAGAAGGGAATGTCTAGAAGGAGGGTAGGACTTCTCCCAGAAAAAAACAGTACTTTAAAAAATAATCTTATATGATAGTTCTATAGTAGGCAAAAACAAAGAACGAATGGAGAGTCACTATTACTTTCTTGTTATTAAAAACTCCATGAAAGACAAAAGAAACTCATAGTATACTGTTTAGATCTGCAGTGAACATTTACTGAGTCATAACCAACACCTTATTAATTGAACTAAACATAGTAATACAACTATATTGGGAGAAGGAAGGAGGTGTATTTTAAGACCTAAATCAGAATTTATTTATTCATAGCAGAAAGTCAACAAAATCTAGCATTGATAAAGCAGTAAACCAGTTGATTATTTAGAGCTATAGCATTAACCACAAGAAAAAAGACCTGAAAAGATTAAAAGTGATTGCCTCAGATGTGGAGGTAGAGTAAGACAAGAGTTGGTTGTTCATTACAAGGCCTTTTTTTTTTTTTTTTGAGATGGAATCTTGCTCTGTTGCCTGGGCTGGAGTGCAGTGGTGTGATCTCAGCTCACTGCAACCTCCGGCTCCCATGTTCAAATAATTCTCCTGGCTCAGCCTCCTGAGTAGCTAGGACTAGAGGAATGAGCCACCACACTCGGCTAATTTTTGTATTTTTAGTAGAGATGGGGTTTTACTGTGTTGGCCAGGCTGGCTTGAACTCCTGCCCTCAAGTGATCCACCCGCCTCGGCCTCCCAAAGTGCTGGGATGACAGGTGTGAGGCACCACACCCGGCCCATTACAAGGCTTTTAATGTCATTTGATTTTTAAACATGTATATTCATTATTTTGATTAGCTTATTGATTTTTAAGAATTTGTCTTAGATTACCAAGTTAGTATATTATTTGCCCAAATGAAGGAAATGGCCTGGGGTAAGATCAGGGTGGCTTAGAGCAGTAGCCAGCAAATATTTTCAATAAAGGACCAGAGAGTAAACAGAAAGTTTTGAGGGCCATATGATCTGTTGCAACTTTATAAAAACTCTGCCAGTGTATTGCAAAAACCGCTACAAATATATGTAAACAAAGAACATGGCCATATTTCAATAAAAGTTTATTTGCAAACACAGGAAATGGGCCAGATTTAGTCTATGGGCCAGTCTGCCTGACCCTGGCTTAAACAATGACCTGAAGACAAAGTGGCAGACAGATCTGAGGTGTTTAGTGGTAGAATTTTTAAAATATTTATCTTCATTCCTACTAAGTTTTCTTCACAGATACCTGTGGTCCCTTTTACAACCAAACTCTCAAGTTTCTCCACTTATATTCACTCTTCAAAACACTACAGTCTGGTCTCTACACCCACATCCACTCATAACTGCTTAAGCCAGGCTTGTCAAGACCTTCTTATTCTCAAATCTAATGGAAACATTAGTGTTAGTGTTTCTTGACTTCTGGTACTTCAACACTTCAACAATTTCTCCCTCTTTGAAATTTCCTTTTAACTTAGGTACTGGGGTTGTACTATCATTTTTTTCTTCCGTTGAACCAGTTTAGCCTTAGTTTTAAAAGTTTTTTCAAATAAGATGTCATCCAGGATTCCATCCATGGTACCATGTCCAAAGTTGTTACAGATATGTTTTATAATCTAATACTGATACATGCTTCAATGATAATGGAGTAGATGGGACCAGCCTGTTCTCCCATAAGATAGTAGAAAATTGGACAAAGTGTATGAAACAACTGTTTTCAGATATTGGACAACACATAGTAAAGGAGACAGTGGTCTCTGAGAGGAAGGAAACACTCAGGGAGTCCTATGATATTCTGCCTAGAAACATTTTCCAGAACGCTGCCCAGGGAGGGAGAACCTCAGCAGAGTAAAATCAATGGCCTCGCTGAGGTTAGGGAAGGCGAGGCAGTGGAATTTGCAGGACACAGTACTCAAAATGAAGAAGCAATAAGGACTAAGAGCTCCAGAAACCTACAAAGGATCCCCTGAAGTCTTTGGTGGAACACCAAGCCGTACTTCTAGAAGCCCAAAGACCCACAACCAGGGGAAAGTACATCTACTGGGAATTTGTAAGCTGCACAATTACCAGAGCTTGCAAAAGGCTCAAAGACAAGTGAAGCACAACCAGTCAGAGTACAAAGACACTGGTGAACAGGGGGTAGAATTCAGTAGTGATCCCAGAAAGGCCAAGTCTTAAGTATAGGGTTAAACTAATGCTAGGACTGCAGCTACCAAAATGTGGACTAGGGAACCCCAGTGGGTCTGTAAAGTTAAAACAAGTTTAAATAATACTAAGATTTAATTTGCCTTTTTTCACTTTAATTTATTCACAATGATACAGTGGTGTTTATAGAAGCTACATGTTGTATCATAATATTACATTGACATTGTACAGGTTGTGCTTCTGTAGTCTTGTGTTACAAAATGTTCCTAGTTTTAATTTCTAAAATGCTGAATAGTCCATAGTTAAAATCCTCATGAACAAAAACTATGGCGTCCCCAGTAATTTTAAAGAGTGTTAAGGTTCTAAAACCATAAAGTTTGAAAATATCCACCTTAGAGTGAAGGCTTTCTAGACTTGCCCCAGCAAGCTTAAAAAGAAGCTTCAAAGGTATCAAACTTATCCACAAACAATTGCCTCCTGCAATAAAAATGCAAGCTGAGCCAATTCACATATCCCTAGTATATTTCTAGATATTGCTGTATTTCTCAATGAGACTGCAGTATTCTATACTGTCCAAAACAGTGTCGTATAAAAGGAACCACACATAATTTTTAAAAACAGGAATAACTAGATGTCTGATAGTGCACTAATTGTCCAATCTTAACTTATGTAAGTCGTACTCATCTGTAAAATGGGAATTCGGTAATTGTTGGATGGGTTAAAAGAAATACATTACTACCTTGAAAGGGATCTTATTCAATTTCCTTAGGTCCAAAACATTAAGTATTCTAAAAAACAAAATCTAATGATAGCAGCTACTTTTATACAGAATATAAAGTACAAAGAAGAAAAGAAACATGTTTTATGCATATATAACTCCATTTTTAATTGGCTTTATATACTCTGTGTTTTTCAGTCACATACCATGAGCAACTAATTTTAAAAAACTACATAAATTAACCGTACTAGTCTTCTATTTTGGATAGTATTAATTACAATCTTTCATTTTGATTCCTAAATTCACAAAAACCTGTATTACCCTATAAAATAAATACTAGTGTAGTTATCAACAAAGAAGTCTGAAGGAGATAATGTTGATTTGCTTACTATACTGACATTTTACTGACAATGATATAACACAGTGATGTCTGAAGGGCAGGGGAGAATGGTATAAAAATCACTCATGGTTCACAACCTATTATTGAAACTGAGGTTAGTATTTATATTACATGGTATGGCAATACTAGAAAAGATTTCCTTGTGGAGTATACAGTTTAAGACCTCTGCTGTACAGCTATACCTCCATGCTTGCTTCCAGTGGCCATGACACTTTATTCAAATATGTAAGTTTTATTAAGACTGAGTTCTTAAAAAGAAAAAACCAAGAACCTTAGATACAACTAGTGAAGTATTGAGACCTGTCCATATTTAAAACCAAGCACACGATACCACTTAAAAGGTTCCACAGAAAGCCTCTATCCTGAAATGCTTGAAAGTGAGCAGTGCTGACTCTCGATTATTACCAATTGCATTAAATATGACACTTGTTTTGTTTCTTTTGGCTATAAGGAGAAAATGTCATTTTGTATATGAGTGAGCACAGAGGAGAGAGAATGCGGTAAAGAACAGAATAGGCTAATAATTTTTTACTAAATACTCCAGTTCTCAGCTTTTTAAATCAACAGACAAAATGAATCAGCTAAACCTAAAATCTTTGTGAATAGTATAAATTGTCTTTTAAATTAAATGCATATATTTTTATGTTTTACTTTTTCAAGACAAAAGCAGGATATTAGTACAATATAAGATTTATAGAGGAGCAAATTTCTTCAGATAGGAAACCCTTAAAAGCAGTATTTAAAGTGCTTAAATACTGTCACATATGTTTAATAATCATAATACTTAATTGTGAGAACTGGGAGCTCATGTTACTACTAAAACCAAATAAAAATTCAGTACATATTTGTTAACTCAATTTAAGGATGTTTACCTTAATACTGACACAGTATGGATGGTAACACTGACCACACTGAGACAGGCAACCTGGCATGTTGACCAGCCTGGGCAACATGGTGAAATCCTGTCTCTACCAAAAATACAAAAAACAGCCGAGCGTGGTGGCACATGCCTGTAGTCTCAGCTACTCAGGAGGCTGAGGCAGGAGAATCACTTGAACCCAGGAGGCAGAGGTTACAGTGAGCCAAGATTACGCCACTGCACTCCAGCCTGGGTGACAGAGAGAGACCCTGTCTCCAAAAAAAAAAAAAAAAGAAAAAGAAAAAAAAAGAGGAAGGAAGGAAGGTTGGTTGGTTAACTAAATAGGACTACATCTCAGTATTTTTCAATACAAATACATTTAAAAGCAGTGTTTTTTTTGGTTTTTTGTTTGTTTGTTTTTGAGATGGAGTCTTGCTATGTCACCCAGGCTGGAGTGCAGTGGCACAATCTCAGCTCACTGCAAGCTCTGTCTCCCAGGTTCACGGCATTCTCCTTCCTCAGCCTCCTGAGTAGCTGGGACTACAGGCGCCTGCCACCATGCCCGGCTAATTTTTTGTATTTTTAGTAGAGATGGGGTTTCACCATGTTAGCCAGGATGGTCTCGATCTCCAGACCTCATGATCCGCCCACCTCGGCCTCCCAAAGTGCTGGGATTACAGGCATGAGCCACCATGCCCAGCCTAAAAGCAGTTTTAATGAATAGTACTAATGCTTTATAAGAGCAATTTATAGTCATATGAACCCTAATGACTACAAGTGTTAATAATGCCAATATTCATCATTAGGGAGTAAGTAAAGCCATGACAAATCCAAACATTACGAAAGTACGAAACATTTTAAAAGTAGGGAGGTAGAAACTTGTATAGACTGCCATGAAAGAAATTATCAAAAAGACACTGTTGAGTGAAAAAATAAATTGCAGAACAGTATTTGAGGTATAGCACTATAATATAAAAACATGCAAAGTCATTATATGTAGTCTATGGGCACATATAACAGGTTGACTCATAAGAAATTGCTACTTTTCATCAGTTCAGAAATAATATTGGCAATTTCATATGGATCAACCTAATATATAAATATACCAAACTGGTAACAGGGAAATAAGGAGGACTGAGGAGTTAGTAATGGTAAATTCTGATCTACCTATAACACTTTAATTTTTTTAATAGAGAAAATGTATTGATGTGTTATATGCATAGCATTAACAAAATTAGCTTTCTAAGATTTTAGAGAATCATCCAAGTTGATTCACAGAAGTAGAATCATCATCATCAGTAAGAAATTAAGTGACTACTGAAAGTAATCATTAATTCAGTCATAGGACTAATGATGCATTGACAAGACTATTGAGATATATAATTATGGAAATGGCTAAAATAGAGATAAAGTATCTATTTCCACCTCCCAACCACTAACAGAAAATTCAACACATTATACACACTGAGCAGCTCAAAGAAATTGTAAAGATCCATTATTATTTTTAAAAGGAAATTTAAACAGTGAATGCTTTCACTGAAAACGATAAACAATATATTCCCAGTATAAACCAGAAACAAAGTCTGCAGTAGAAAACTACAATGTCCCTAGATTCAAGTGTGGGTGGGGAGTCATATTTAAATAATAAGTGCAGAAAAACCAAAATATTTTAAAATAATTGTCCATGCAAGAAAGAAAACAGTATCATCTAGCTTGAAGACCCACTGTTTTTATTTTATAATTTATTTCATGACCTTTAGACTGCTAGAAAAATAAAACCTAACTTGAGGGCAAAGGTAATCTTTGAGAAAATATGTGCTATTGTTGCCTGCATAGATAATAGTGTGATTTATCCAGAAGGTGATAGAAATTTCATTTTCCTAGACAGACCACAGATATAAGCCAAGGAGAATAGAAAGCTCTGACCTAAACTTCACAAGTGTCCCTTCCAAACAGGGACACGTAAGAGTAAACAAAAAAAGAAGATCAAATTAAACTCAAAGTGAGAAGATAGGAAAAAATAAAGATGAGAATATAAATCAATAAAACAGAAAGAGGAAAGAAAATAGAGAAAAGTCCATGAAAACAAAGGCTGACTCAAGAAGATCAATAAGACTGATAAATCTCTAGCCAGACTGATCAGGAAAAAAATAAGACAAGATACAAATTATTAGTATCAAGAATGAGGAAGGTGAAATCACTACAGATTCTACAGGTATTAAAATAATAAGAAACATTATGATCAACTCCATTCCTTTAATTTGTCAAGATAGACAAAATGAACAAATTTCTTGAAAGATGCAAATTTATGCAAGGAGAGACAGATAACCTAAATAGGTACCTATTAAAGAAATAAAATTTGTTGTTAAAAACTGTCCCACAGGCTGGGCACTGGTGGCTCATCCAGTAATCCCAGCACTTTGGGAGACGGATCACCTGAAGTCAGGAGTTCAAGACCAGCCTGGCCAACATGGCAAAACCCCATCTCTACCCAAAACACAAAAATTAGCTAGGCATGTTGGTGCATGCCAGTAATCCCAGCTACTCAGAAGGCTGAGGCAGGAGAATTGCTTGAACCTGGGAGGTGGAGGCTGTAGTGAGCAGAGATCACGCCACTGCACTCCAGCCTGGGCATGGTGGCTCATGCCTGTAATCCCAACACTTTAGGAGGCCAAGGCAGGTGGATCACCTGAGGTCAGGAGTTCGAGACCAGCCTGGCCAACATGGTGAAAAACTGTCTCTACTAAAAATACAAAAAAAGAAATTATCTAGGCATGGTGGCAGGAACCTGTAATCCCAGCTACCCAGGGGGCTGAGGCAGGGGAATCACTTGAGCCTGGGAGGCAGTGGTTGCATGAGCTGAGATTGTGCCATTGCACTCCAGCCTAGGCAACAAGAGCGAAACTCCATCTCAAAAGAAAGAAAGAAAAAAAAAAGAAAACACAACAAAAACCCCCCCACAAAGAAAATTTCAGGCCAAGATGGTTTCACTAATAAATTCATGTATAAGAAGATACATTTCCACTACTACACAACTTTTCCAGAAAACTGAAGAGGAGAATATACTTTCTGATTCATTCTATGAAGCTGGAGTTATGCTGATACCAAAACCAGACGAAGACATTACAAGAATGTAAGACTACAGGCTGGGGAATTGTGACTCACGCCTGTAATCCCAGCATTTTGGGAAGCCAAGGTGGGAAAATTGCTTGAGCTCAGAAGTTCGAGACCAGCCTGGACAACATAGTGAGATGCTGTCTCTATTAAAAATTTTAAAAAAGTAGTTGGGTGTGTTGGCACACAGCTATGGTCCCAGCTACTTGGGAGACAGAGGTGGGAGGTCGAAGCTGGAGTTAGCTATGATCGCACCACTGCACTCCAGCCAGGAATTAGAACGACAACCTGTCTCAGAAAAAAAAAAAGAAGAAGAAAAAAAGTGCACAGGTCTACAGCCGTGGTGCATCCACAGTTTTATTAATACTCAGCAAGAAAAGGGAGTACACTGTTAACAAGTACAACAGCATAGATGAATCTCCAAATAATTGTGCTGAAATAAATCAGTCCAAAAAGCATACAGTTCTGTATGATTCCACTTATATACAACTCTAGAAAATGCAAACTAATCTTGGGGACAAGGACGGATGGCAGGGGGAATGCAGGTGTATATGTATATACATATATGTATATGTATATATATATATGTATATATCAAAGCTTATGGAATTGTACATGTCAAATATAGCTTATATCAACTATACCTCAATAAGCCTGGTTTTAAAATTTTTCTTTTTGAAAAAAGGACGAGAATCTAAGCTTCCTTATTCCTGCTTTAGTAGTAAACTTGAACAATTTCACCTGTCTCCTATACTTAAAATGACATTTTAGAATTTTAAAAACAGGATTTTAATAAAATAGCGAAGTTATTACGTAAAATATTTGCTAGTAGTTAGCAAATATATTTGTAATACACATATAAATAAAGCCTTATAACATGATAGTAAGCAAATAACAATCTTAAAATTTTTTAAGTAAAAGAGCAACTATATTACATACTGACTTTTTAGAGAGGGGTGGCATAGAAAGATAAGGAGTCAAAGAGGAAGGTAAGAATAGAGAAAGGATGAGAAAGTAAATATACAAGAAAACGTAACCAGAGGCTCAAAAAAAAAGCAAAGTAGAACAGTAAAATAAACATTTTGACCTATTTATATAACTCTTAAGTTCAAAATAACTTGCTATGAGATTGTCATCATTAACTGACATTTAGATTAGAGAAAATATACATGAAGGAAGCCTCACCCCAGGCAATACAACAGCTCCGATTCCACTTTTCAGCTTTGACCTGCCTCGGCCACCTCACCCCGACAGTCCTGCACCTCGAGGTCTCCGCTTTCCTGGAAATCCAGACCCACAGCCCTATGTAACAGATTAAGAAAAGTCAACATTCTGTGACAGCCCAAAATAATTTTTAAATCCAAATGCCACTGAGATAAAACATTTTATTAAATGTTATACAAACACTTCTTTAGATAAGTATTAAGAGACCTGGCTTATTATTTTTATCTTTAAAAGTATACTCCACAACTTAAAAATCTAAATATAAAATGCTTACAACCTTAGAATCATACTTTCGGGCTGTCACTGTGAACGCTATCAGCAAGACTTTGCATGATTTTTCTCTTTCCCACTCCTACATTCTCAGTGACGACAACAACTATAGTCTGATCCAGATATTTCGAAGTGCAACAAATTGTATTCAATATAGAGTAAGGATAAGGAAGAACTCTCTCATTAACTGGTCTCGCGGTGATTACAGTAATAGCTAACATCTATTGAGTACTTACTATGTACTGATCTAAGTATTTTTTACTCTCAACAATCCCATATAGTAGGTTTTATTATCCTTATTTGAGATGAGTGTGCTGAGGAATAAAATGGTTAAGTAAGTTGTCCAAGGTCGCTTAGCTAGCAAGCCTGGCTCCAGCGTCCCTGGGTTGGAAGCATATTCTGTACTGCTACATCAGCATAAAAGTTCATTTTTGCTAGTGTGTAACAGTATTCTTCCTGTCATTAAAATTAAGTCAGTTTCCTTCACTATTCAACAGTTCTCTTATGAACTCAACATTTCTACCTCATTCACCATTGTATTTAGAGGAAAATTTATTATTATTGTTATTACTTTTATTTTTGAGACAAGAACTTGATCCGTCACTCAGGTTGGACTGCAGTGGTGTGATCACAGCTCACTGCAGCCTAGAACTCTTGGGCTCAAGTGATCCTCCTGCTTCTGCCTCCCAAAGTGCCAGGATTACAGGAGTAAGCCAAAGCGTCCAGCCAGGAAAAATTATTTGAGGATTACAGGAAAGCTGACAAAAGGCTTTGTGAAAGCTTTGCTTTAAATAATCTGAATAATAAATACTTGAAATGGAAATAATTTATCTGACTTCTTACACAAGAAATAAACCTATGGGAAAATGTGTTAAATTCCCTGATAATTTCAGACATTAAGTACCAGAGTATGGTGTTCCCTGCCCCCTCACCCTTGTTTGTACTAATTAATTACTCCTTGAAAAAACCTGGCACCTACCTAAGTAGATGAATTATGTATATTTAAAATTATCCAGATGCTCAGGAAAATACTTAGGTGTTTCCCTCACCATAAGTTAAATAATATGTCATATCTTCAACTGATGTCCCTTATCATAGTTTGAAATGAACTTATTCCCTATTTAGCAGAATGGTTTCCAAGTCAAAAATTTATGATGATACGGTAAGCATAAAATAGAAACACATGAACAAAAGGAACAGGAGGAATGGCTTTTTTCTCTTTGGATGTAATAAATACAGCCAGCTCCCAGTTTCAAACTGCCACTCCTGTCTTCTCTTACCCTGCTCTCCTTGAGATCCCTTTTGAGAAGTGCATCAGCTTCTTTGCACAACAGATGGATGGGGTCAGGTTAGTTTTTTGGGTTTTTTGTTTGTTTGTTTGTTTTTGAGATGGAGTCTCGCTTCTTTGCCCAGACTGGAGTGCAATGGTGTGATCTTGGCTCACTGCAACCTCTGTCTCCTGGGTTCAAGCAATTCTCCTGCCTCAGCCTCCCTAGCAGCTGGGATTACAGGCACATGCCACCACGCACGGCTAAATCTCTTTGTATTTTAGTAGAGACGGGGTTTCACCACGTTGGCCAGGTTGGCCTCAAACTCCTGACCTCCGGTGATCTGCCCCCTCAGCCTCCCAAAGTGCTGGGATTACAGGCGTGAGCCACTGCGCCCGGCCGAGTTTGTTTTGTTATTAAATTGGTATAAAAGATTTTTGAAAAATTAAGTCAGTGATTAAAAATCAAGACTACAGTAATCTCTCAATTTATTTTCTCAAACATGAAATGCTGACCCAGAAAAAAAGTAAGTAAAAATTGGTGGTCTATATTATCAAACTGTCAAATGAGGTATATTTATACCTCAATATCTTGGATGATATCAGGCGGAGGTAGGGAGGTTAAAAAAAATAGTTCTTCCAGTCAAGAAAGAAAATAAAATATAATCTAGAATTCCTTAAAATCCTTGATTAGTCTGAATTAAACAGCCATATTCCAGAATATTAAATATAGAATATGAAGAAAAACTGTCATCTCCGGTCAATGAAGTATTTTAACTTTTGAGTTAATACTTTTTCAAATTAATTTTTTTCTCTTCAAAATGCATCACACTACTTAACTCACTTGAAGGACTGGCAGAGCCATCAACCAATGTCATGAGGGAAAAAGCCTTGTCATTTTAAGGTATTAAACAGACAATGAAATCTGCCACAATTTTGGTATTTCTTGTCCATGAGAACATAATAAATTAATGGAGTTTTTTCTTTTGCTTTTTTCTAAGCAACAAAGTTTTATGATATCATGAATGAAAAGGTCCTTAATTACCTTTTGGTCTACATGTCAAGGACTTCTCCCTCATAAAACCAGTAGTAATCACAACAAAAGGAATTAACCATAAAAAGAGGTATTAAAAATGTATACTTGATTTTTAAATGCAAGCATATTATTTCTTTACATTAAAATTTTTAGATTTAAAAAGTGTTTCTGGAAGCTCAATCTAGAAAAGAAAGATTTAATTCTTAACACCCAGTAGGGCAAAACAAATCAGACAGAAATGATATATGAATGTAAATGCAATTTTATTTACCACTTTTGTGCTCCAAATGGCACTGCCAGGAAGCTGCCTGGGTTTAAAAATTTCCCGACCTTCTGAAATGTCTGAGGACAAGGAAGGTGGGCTCACAGTATTATGGGTACTCCAGGCCTCCTAGGATATGGCAGTTGAGAAAATAGATGTGTAAAACTCAGCAACATAAACGGTCAAAGCCAGCAACTAAGGAATTTTAGAACAGCAAAAACAAATGCAAAAGTATGGAAATTTAGGACAAATTGCTTCAAGGAAGGCAAAATAAGCTAATCACTAACAGTGATTTAAACATTTAAGTATAACTTAAGTAACTTAAATGTTTGCTGCTACAGAGACATCACTACAATGAAATATTAAAAATTAAGGTTTATATGACATCAACATTGACTCATGAACTGCAATTACTGCACCAAAAAGTAAATAAAAGTCAATGACACTTTAAGAATTAACACTAGAAAAAAGTATTGGGGGGTTATTTTTCTTCTACCAACTATCAATCTACTTAAAAGGAGAAATGGATAACCATAAGGAATTCTATATTCTATAGCTATAAACAACCAAAACCAGTAGGCCAAAGAATGCAATGAGAAACATAAGCAATCGATAAATGCATAAACTTTAAACTGTAGAGAGCTGGTAACATTAAAATGCAAATACCATTATAATCTTAGCATTTAATCACTCTTTCTTCAGTGACCATTAGTTGTCGGTTTGGTTTCGGTTTTTACTTAGGGAAATGAATACTTTATGGAAATTACATCCAATGGACAAAAGTGAAGAAACGTTAAAGCAAATTGTCCTAAATTTGCAAATTAAAATGCCTAAAGTACCTGATAAATTATATAGAAATTAGTATCTTATTAAAATCTATATAACTAAAACTAAAGCATTTTACTTCCAAACAACCACATTCAGCAATACCCTGAACTAATCTGAAGATGCTAAACAGCATAAAGAAAAATGTTTACTCCACAAAGATAACATTTTAAAGAAAAACAAGACAAATGTCAAACAATAAAAGAATATATTTTGAATTAGGTAATTCAATGGTGCATGCATAATTTTGCCAATCAAGTAACCAAAACTTAAGACAAGGTACATAGTACTTACCAGGTTTCTAGAATATCATCAAATTAACAAGTACTATCTCATTAATCACATAAAAATACCACCAGGAATTAAAATAACCAGAAATAAGAATGTGACTACTCTTGGGGTAAGAGATAGGTAATGGAATAACAGTATTTTGGAAAAGCCACACAAGCAATAGACTGGTTTAATTTTTAAGTCACAAACTCAACCCACACACATTGAAGTCCAGCAATCCAACTCATTCTCTCCAGCAAACACTTTATTTTTCTCCCTCCAGGATTACCCTCAGGTGTTCTTTCTTACCCATCAAATCTCTAACCTAGCTCAGGTAATCACTAGGCTGATTTCACTGAGCAGCAACCACTGCAGGTCAGTTACCTCACTTTCATAATTTCCAATCAACTTGAATCTGTACCTATGTCTTCTTCCCTACTATTAGTAGGGAGGTGTTGTCAAAAGCCATTTCTCTTTTCTCATTTTACTCATGCTCCTGACATCTGGCATACGGTTCTACTGGATTTGGCAGCAGTCCACCTGTGGATATTTCACTGCCTTCCTCGCTAATCTTTCTTCATCTCCTGTACGTGTTCTTCCTCTATTTGACTTCCAAAGCCCTGGAGTTTCCCAGGGCTTGAGCCTAGATCCTAAATGGTGTTATCTACAATGAGGGCATCTTGGAAGTTGATGCTTCCCACATTCTTATTTCTAGTTTTAATCAAAGATCTCCAAATTAGCAGGATTTTCAACTTCCTTCTTAGCATTTCCATTTTCTCACACAAAACCCCTCTTAATTTTGCCATGTTTAAAATTTCTCCCTTAACCGGTTTCATCCCAGTCTTCCCCATCCTTATAAATGGCATCCAGTCCCTTGTCACTCTCCTCTGCTCCTTCAGTCCTCTCCCCCAACACTTCGTCAATGCAAATCATCAGCAAATTCAAGACTTTTTATCTTCAAGTTTTGTCTCCGATCCTTCTACTTCTTGTCACTTCCACCACTAGCAGCACACTCGTGGCCACCACCATCTCTCACCTAACCTGCTACAAGAGTCTACTGCTGGTTATGCTTCTCTCACCCTGCATCTACTCAAGCCTTTCCCCACAGCAGCCAGAGGAACTTTTCAAAAGTACAAATGTGATCAAGCAAGTCACTATTCTATTTCAAACCTTCAATTGCTTCTCAGAGCACTTAAAATACAAACCTTTCCCAGTGCCTTTCTCCAACTCATCTTGTGGCACTTGTCTCCCCGCTGCTGTGCTCCCGCTATTCTGGCTTCCTTGCTGTCCTTCAAACATGCCAAGCTCTGTATCAATCAGAGCCCAGCTGACTCAGAACACTTCACTATACCATTCCGGCCCTTCAATAAATGTCTGGCATTTTCTTTCTTTCTTTCTTTTTTTGAGATGGAGTCTCACTCTGTCACCCAGGCTAGAGTGTGGTGGTGTGATCTCGGCTCACTGCAACCTTTGCCTCCCAGGTTCAAGCAATTTTCCTGCCTCAAGCCTCCTGAGTAGCTGGGATTACAGGCATGCACCACCACGCCCGGCTAATTTTTGTATTTTTAGTAGAGAAAGGTTGTCTCCAAGTTGCTCAGGCTGGTCTCCAACCCCTGACCTCAAGTGATCTGCCCACCTTAGCCTCCCAAAGTGCTGGGATTACAGGTGTGAACCACTGCGCCAGGCCAATATTATTTTTTTAAGAAAATACTAATAAAAAGAAACAATTGATATTAAATAAAATTTAACTATTGACTATAAATATATGTTTCAAGAGATTTGAGTGAAAATACCATTCTATGTTAAAATAAAAAATATGACATTCGATAAATATAGTAATAACATGTTCTCAAAGGTTCAAGGGGCTAAAGCTAATGAGAAAAAGTTAAATATAAACATCTTACAATTTACCTAATTACTTGAAATAGAAACTTATGTTCATTCCTGTATTTCTCCATTTTTCCAATTTCTAATGTCTACTTCTTTCCATTTTGTATTTTCTTGTATTGAGGCAATTTAAAGAGGATATGCCAGGTCTTCAGAAAGCCAAGAACTGAACATAAGCACTCTGGAACCTATCTGAACTTAATTTTGTCCAAGATTTTTTTAATGGTTGAAAATTGGCTCAACTGGGGATACTAAGAGGAAACATCAGGGGCAAAGGGGATTTGGGTTAAACAGATCGAACAGGATTCTTACTGAAGGCAGGCCAGACTGATCAGAAATCATCTGGAGGGTGGTGGGAGATAACAAATTTGATCAGATGTCAAAGGTGATCAGTACTGAGAGTAGGGGATTCTTTGCAAGTTTCTTACTAAACCTGAGAGATGTGGGCCAGACTAGGATGAACACTGAAGGCTGGGGCTGAGAGGAGGCTTAGAGGATCCTGACTAGAGTTTGGGCAAGGGGAGAGGCTTTGTCAATGCAAACATGAATTCAACAATATTACCAAGTACAGATGCATGCACATAAAAATACTGAAAGGAAATATAAGAAAATCTTTAAAAATTTTTATGGCTTATTTATTTTATGTAATTTAAATATATGTATATATAAAATTAAGGTGTACTTTGAACACATACTAACACATTCAAAGAATTAAGTATACGTTTGATAATACATAATAGTTACAAAATAAGCAAGGTCTTCATGCAAACGAGTTTAGAATTTCCAGGGTGTATTACTTAGCATTTGATTAACAGGCCTGTAACTTCTTCTGCTTCCCATTCATTGCCCATTTTATTAAAAATTCCTCAAGTGGATGCATTGGAATGGAAGAAACACTGACTCTTTCCTTCAAAGAAGGAAACAACAAACCTTGTTTGACAACCCTGGTCAAACAAGACAAGGACCAAGTGGCCAGTGGTAAGGAAAGTTGGTCAACTAATGAATGACATTTTAGATTAAAAGTGAATTTTATTTAACCCAATTATTCTTATCCTATGCACACAAATTTGAATTTAAGTTAGCTTGATGTAGATGGTCACCCCATTCCAAAGCATGGGTCCAAATACCCTAAGGTTCCAGGAGGAGCCAGCTTTCTTCAGAAGGTGGCAAGTGCATTGCAAAGTACTGAGGAAAACTTTCTTTAAAGTATCTTTTTTCATCATTCCATATTTTGCTCCTTATAATTGCAACTGCTCTCCTTATACATGTCTCTTTTGAAACTTCTCACTTGTCTAAGGTGCTATTGTTCCTCCTCATCTTTTTTTTTTTTTTTTAATAGCATAGTCTCTCTCCCTCCTTGCCATGCTGAAAAGGCTTCTGACTTGCTGTTCTTGCCAGGAAACATTTCTGCAGGGCGTATTGGAGTGGAACTACTTACAGAGTGTCAGGGCAAGTCCTTACATTTGTTTATGCTTAGGACACAACACAGAAGATAATTTTCTAAGTTAAAGATTGTATGATTTTATCTTGACTTCAGAAACTGGTCATACTTTTTTACTTTAGTTTCTAAGAACCTCAGAGCTGAACTTGAAACAACTTTAATAATTCCAATGAGGCATTTGTTATTTATCCTTTTTAAAAAAGACTTTTCTAATTTAAATCATTTTATTATTGCTCTAAATTTGCCAGGTTCATTTTAGAATTTTATAAACTGTTTTAAAACTAATTTACATTAAGTTGGAATAAAGTTAACCAAATTAATACAAACATATTTTATTGCACTTCTCTTTATTGTGCTTCACAGATAGGAACATTTTTTCTTTTATTTACAAATGAGATGTTTGTGACAACCCTGGTGAAGCAAGTCTATTGGTGCCATTTAACAAACAGCCTTTGCTCACTTTGTGTCTTGGTTTCACACTTTGGTAATCTTCACAATTTTTAAAATATTTCCTTATTATTATATTTGTTACGGTGATCTGTGATCAGTGATCATTAATGTTATGGGAGGCGGAGTTTGCAGTGAGCAGAGATCACGCCAGTGCACTCCAACCTGGGCAACAGAGTGAGACTCCATCTAAACAAAAAAAAAAAAAGGAGTTTTTATATGTAGGGTACAAAATACTATCTGACCTTAAGGTGTGTGCAAATTTTTCTGAATTAATTAAGACTTAAATATCAACAGGAGTGATTGTTTTTGTTACAATCACCAGGTGGGTGATCTGATACTTTCCCCTGAAAAATGCATATACAAAATTTTCACATAATTTAAAAACATCCACAGATACATAGCTATGGATTCAGTTTATGGATCAAGAATTCAACTCCTCAGAAGTAAAAGATTACATGAGAAAGTATCTGATATTGAGGTGACAAGGAATAATGTTGAAATGTATCTCATTAAAAAGTGCAGACAGTTGTGGCTAAGACATTGGGTATTACAGAGGTGCATCCATGTGTCCAGTGAGAAGACTTTAAGAATCTGTTTGGGAATAATGAGAACATGAGCATTCCCCTCCCTACCTCTAGCACTCCCCTCCTGCTATTTGGATATTGTGAATTTACCAAACACAGTGATTTAGGTCACTTTTATTATTTCAGAAATTCCAGATACCTTACTACTTATATAAAATAGCCCTTGAAAGGATGCTTACCATTAAATAATGTCTAATACAAAGAAAAGACAAATGTATGTGATCTGTAGTGCATAGTTATAATACAATCTGAATACTACATTTAAATTTTTTACTCCACTTTCCAAGAAATAAAGCATTGATTCTAAATATATTCTCTATTTGTCAAAACAAATAGAAACTACCTAGTGTTTCATTTATAAAAGAAATTAATTAATGGTGTCTCTAAGTTAATTTTTTATTTCTTTTCCCCATATCATTTTTATATTATATAAGAGAGCATATTTTTCTACTCTACCCTGGAATTAATAAACAAAAAATAAGGTATGATATTTAACCCAGGGCTACCACATTTTTTTCAGTGTATTTAGTAGGTTCTCCTAAATCTGGAAAAGAAAACTTCAAATATAAACACAACCAAACTAAAATAACACCTTTTTTCTTCTATTTACTTTATTTCTTGAACTCAGTGATGTAATATGTCTTCATCTGCCTCTGAGAATACACTTAAAACTACAGAAGCAAATTAACATTTTCCCAATTCACATGTAGTGCAATATTTAAGATTTCATCTAATTGAACACGTGTTGGATCAAATTTATAATACTAAAAGCACTCTTCTACATACTGCAATGTCTAGATGGAAGACAAGCTAGTCAGGTGGCAGAGTGAACATCATTCTGGTAGGCCTTTTCAAGCTGTCACTTGCAAGATGTTTGGACTGCTGAGAATGTTAGCCATAATTAATTGCAGAGATAGGAGGCTGCAAATGGGTGAGGTAATGTTCAAATGCATGGAATGATGACTAGTCATAGTAAAAGATAATAGATGTGGCCACATTGCTTTGAGAAAATTTAGAGAATATTTTGGGTCACAATGATACATTTCTGCGTTATTTGTGGAATGTTTTCAATGTAATTACATCACACAGGTAGACTTCCAGATCCTGTGTCTAACTTACTTTCCTTGGCTCTGTGGGAGAACACATATTCTAATGAAGTTCATTTTAAGGCAAATATTTCTTGAAAACACAAAACTGATAGATATATGTATGCAGGTTTCCTTCTTATACGTCTTTTATAAACAATGAAGTTGTATTTCTCCTTTAGTGTTTAATGTGTTTCATCAGATAATGCCCTAGAAGTTTTATCAAATTTTTCTGTCCACCATTTGAAGGTGTATGAGAGGGAAAAAATGCAGTCTGCCTGCTTCACTAACAAAAGTAGGACAAAGGCCATCACAACTGAAATACGTGAAACACTTGGTTTTATTAATTTCAAGCATTTTATATCTCTACACTTGGACTCGAGTAAAGACATTTCATAGAAAAACAGAAATATTTTTATTTGTTTATTTTTTAATCTTGATAACCTGCAATAGTTTACAGCCAGAATGGCAGCTTTTATATATGTACACTCATTTAAATACAGTTTCATACAGTAAATAGCCATGGGGCAAAATATCTGCCTCTAGGCACAAAAAAAATCTTTGCCACTAAATAAACACCTTTAAGTGATACTGCAAAGAATAGATGTGAGGTAATTTTTTACCTAAATGACTCTGGCCTGTATTAAGACATATTCACTGTAACAATTCAAGTTTTAAAATCCTTGTTTTGTAACTCAAAAATATACCTTTTTTACAAAACACATCTTTACATTTATTGCTATTGTACATTTATTTGGCAGGAAACAGGGATGTTTGATGTCTTGCAATGATAAAGCAATCGTATTCAATAGAAAATTGTCTCACATTCTGCATGACTTTTGAACATTCGAAAAGACAATTACATAAGTGAAAAACAAATTTGTAGATATTTGAGTACAACCATTTAATATATGAATAAAAGCAGTTCAGAACATTTTAATGTACGCTGCATTTTCTGATAGTAAGATTTTAAGTTAAAATAAGATTATACTTCAAAAAGCGTACCATTTTGAAAAAAAATCATATCACTCCTGGCAATGCCATTTTCATACTAGTCCAACATATTGCTTATCCATCTGTGTTTGTTTGATTTTACTGTTATTACATTCATGGTAATGCTAAAGTACATACATACACACACACACACACACACCTAAGGTGTGCAGGCTTTCATCCAAGCTTACTGGTATTAATTAAAAAATCAACCAGAGGTAGGGAAAAATAAAACTTATTCAAAAATACTATTGCAATAGGGAGAATATTCCAAACTCAATCTACAGGTGTCTCAGGATCAAACAGGAAAAGGCTTTCCTTTTCTAGGGAAGGACAAGCAGGGCTGGCAGAAGCCTCCTTGGAGAGAAGGACAGGCAGTGGGGTGAGCAGGTGGCAAAACCAGGATGCTCCAATAAAAATAGTTTCTCTGGGAGTCCCGCTCATTTTTGGAGTGAGCTGTTAGCGGGCTGGTCAGTCCTTTAGTGCTTGTTCAGTCTTAGGTGGTGAGCCAAGGTCCAGGGGCCTGAGGAGAGGAGACAAGACTGTCTGAAGTTTGATAAAATCAAGTCAATGGGTAGTTATGAGTAACTGTGAGCAATTGGTCAGCTTTGGGCTCAGCACACACCCCACCTTATGTTGTTTACCACAAACAAAACTTGTCCCTAAAAATTTTTAGGAATGGCATCAGACATAGCGAAGGTTTGCAAACTGATTTTCAGGGTTGGGCTGGTCTTCATGTGTTTGTTAACCTTGAGGACTAGGTATATCATTTGTTAAGTGTGTTATTGGACTGACAGCTGCTCTCTATGAAAAGTAGAATAATCATTGAATATAATAAAAAGAATAATTATTGAAGGTTGGATAAAGAGGTCCGTGGAGCAATGGGCGAGTACGCTGGTGCCACACGCTCCTCGCCTTCTGCTGCCTGCAACTGGTGGCAGCGCTGGAGCAGCAGATCTTTGACTTCCAGGGCCACCTACCAGTGAGCTCCCACCCTAGCCAATTTCCTGCGCCTCGTGGCGCTCACCCTGGGCATCGTGGGCACCGCAGTGTGGCTGACGCTCCGGGCTGGCCTGAGTGCGTTTATCACCTGCTTCTACCCGAAGGCTGGACCCAATATCCCCAGACCGCGACTTCCCCACAGCGTCCAAATGCCCCTGTACCGATCCAGGGATGGAGAATCACCGGGCAGTGGGCGACTCGGGTCTGAACTTCCCCTGGCCATGGGGGGCTGCCGTGCAGTCTTGTCCCTAGCTGCCTGCTGCACTGTCCCTGCAAAGAAGCCCTCAGCAGCGCCCGCAGATCCTCCTGGCGCTGCTCCGCTTCCTGTTCGCCAGCTATGGGAGCAAAGTCTTCCTGAAGGAGGAGGCAGCTTTGACTTCATCAGCGGCTTCCACTCCTAGGGATGCCAGGAGCCCCAGAAGACGTCACGTTGACACCAGCAGCCTCTATGCGCTTCGGGTAGCCCTGCCCCACCTGCCCTGGCCCTGTGCCCTTGGCGCTGGACTGACCTCGGCAGCCGCGATCTTGGTCAGGACCAGCGGGCACAGCCCTGGGGGCTCGGGACCCACTGCAGCCTGTGAAGGCCCCATGGCTCTGCACACAGAGAGGCGGAGCAGCAGACTTTGGGACTTGGCCCTTCACAACCAGGACTTCAGAGAGGAATGGGGCGGGTAAGGGAGGGGCCACGGAGTCCGCATTTTAAAAAATTTCAGACTTAGTGTGAGCTGGAGCTTTTCTCCCTTCTCCAGCCTCTTCCTTTCACCCTTCACCCAGCATCCCGCCCCTGTCCAGAGAGAAAGAGCAGGAGGGCTTGCCCTTTTTATCTCACCGCACTCACTGCCCAGCCTGAGGAAAGCCGGCGGAACTAGGGGCAGGAGTTCTGGTTTCTCATCGCAGGTCCATCAGACTCTGGGTGACAGCTAGCAGAGCCCTAGCCCTCTCGGTGCCTCAGTTTCCCCACCTTGCCATTAAAAGAGTCCCTTGGTAGGTGAGCTCTTCTAGCCTTCTCATATAACTCTGAATTCTGTGGGCTGGGGAGGGATTATAAATCCCATTTTGCAGATGTAGAAACTGAGGCCAAGAGAAGTGAAATGGTTTGCTTGAGGCCACACTGCTAGATTTTGGTGGAAGCAGGCCTTGAACGCAGCGGACTTTCTGTAGTTTCAGCCTCTAAAACCCAGTGTCCTCTCTGAGTTCCGTTTTCAGGCCCCTCACTACATTCACACATCACCGCTTGCCAAGACCTCTCCTCAACCACCATCTTATCAAAGGTGACAAGAGTCACCTTTGCTCCAGTTCCCAGCAAGTTCCTCATCTCCATCAGAGACTGCCTCAGCATGGATTTCATTGTCCATATCATTATCAGCATTTTGGTCAAAGCCATTCAACAAGTCTCTTGGAATTTCAAACTTTCCCACAGTTTCCTGTCTTCTGAGACCTGCAAATTGTTCAACCTCTGCCAGTTACCCAGCTCCAAAGTAGCTGGGATTACAGGCATACACCATGACACCCAGCTGATTTTTGTATTTTTAGTTTCATCATGTTGGCCAGGCTGGTCTTGAACTCTCGACCTCAGGTGATCCTCCCCCCTTGGCCTCTCAAAGTGCTGGGATCACAGGTGTGAGCCACTGCGCCTGGCTGCTGCTCCTTTTTTTGTAATGGACCTGGGAGATCTTTAGGAATGAGGGAAATGATCATTTCTTTGAATAAGGCAGAATACTAAAGACTAGCCAGCCCTCAGGCTCATGGTGGTTGCTGCTGTTCTGTTGAACGTGAACCATAGCCTTTAGAAAGGAGCAAGTCTTTGTGGAATACACAGGATTTGAAGTGCAACAAAGGGGTGGAAACCCAGCTGACCATGATACCTTCAAGTGAGTTTTTCCACTGAATTTGATTATTTTCGCATTTGGCACTTCTTTCTGGGTTTTTTAAGCAGCCCAAAAACTCTAGGTGATTTTACTTTTGTAATTGTATTCTCTTGGGAATGCTCATTCCTGATTCCTCATTTCACCAGATAGGTGTGTAACCTTCTTGTTTCTGCCCATAATAATTCTGGAGTCTTTAAACAAAACGACTGTGACTTTTCATGATGAGTAGAAGATAGGTTTTACTCACGCTACAATCAATATTAATTCCTTGCAGTTCGAAGACACTGAGGCCCTGTCTAATAATATGGAAGTTGAACTTGGACTTGGGAGATGACTCCTGCCTCTCGTCCTCTCTGTGGCTCTGCTTTCTATTATTTTACTCATAAGCTTGTTTTGTCTCCTTGCTGAGAATTGTCAAACATGAAATGTAATTTCAGGCTATAGTGAAGAAAGATGACGTAGGCAGAAGAAATTGGCAATCATTTGGCCTGTACATGTTGCTTTTGGTTTTTTTTCTGGACTTAGGATGTAGACCACACCTTGACAGTTCTGGCCTTTGAGTCTTTCACAACTGTGATTATAATACATTAGCTCTTCTAGAAGTTAGAAGTGACTTTGGATTAAGTCTTTCATAAGGTGGCTAAATGAATTTATATGGCTCATCACAATTCACTTGATTGGTTAAGCAGGAAGTTTACAGAGATTTTTTTCTTTGCTGTAAATGTTTTTCTAAATTGAAAAACTTCTATTACTGTCTTCTGGAGTACTAGAAATAAGTGCAAGTGATTGTTTTTGGCAGGAGGCCACATAAACATTTCTGCTTCTCTGTGCCTTATGGGTAGCATTGATATAAATTGTTAAAAATAATGATTGTAGATAGATAATGTATCAGAGTTTGGGCTCAGCCGTGGTAGCTGCTGTTGACCCAGAGGGACCACTGGGATCCTCACATCTCAGGGCAGCACATCGTTGGCAGCAATGGTTGGTTCTACGCAAACTTTTATGAAATTAGGTGAGGCCCTTGCTTAGAATTTTTTAAAAGCTTAATATGAGTTTATATCTCTTTAAATATCAGTTTCTAATATTTTTTAAAGGCCTATGTTTACAACAAATTTGGGAGATACCTATATGCACTACTAACTAGTGTTCTTTTGTGGTGCTTTAGAAATTCTGGCTTACTTGTATTTTTGCTGGCCTTCTAATGATTTCACTCATCAATCAGAAGATACTAGTGTCCACCTCCCTGCTTCCTCTCCGGTGATCTTGTCTATTCTTGGCCATTTTAGAGTTGACTTAGCAGCCTTCACAAAACTGATTGGAATTTCCACTGGGATTAAATTGATAGGTCATTTTTGGGAGACCTTTGCAATATTGAACTTTCCAATCCATGAACTTTACTTATCTGCCCATTTATCATGTTTGTTTTTGGTAGATTACAAAATTATATGATCACTCCAAAAATTACCTTGCCCTTTATAGTAAAACCTTCCATTGTAAACTGGCAATCACTGATCTGTGTTCCTCTAGCATTGCTTTTTTTTCAGAATTTTATACAAATGGAATCGTTCAGGATGTAGCCTTTTGAGTCTGGCTACTTTCATATACTGTATCAACAGTTATTCCTTTTTATTGCCAAATAGTAATCCATTGTATAAATACTACATGGTTTGCTTATTGGTTTGTCATTGGAGGAATATGGACTATTTTCACTTTTTGGTAAATTATAAGTGGATTGGAATTCACAAAGTGCTTTTTGTCTTAGCATAGTTTTTCATTTCACTTGTGCAAATGCCTAAGGGTAGGATTGCTGAGTCACATGGTCCATTTACATTTGACTTTATCAGAACCTGCCAAATTGTCTTCCAAAGTGCTGTGCCACTTCTGTTTCTTTAATAAATACAGGGGTATTCAAGCTGTCTGTTTCTCCTTGAGTTTTGGTAGTCTGTCTTTCAAGGAATTGATCTATTTCATGTAATTTGTAGAATTTAGAAGCATATAGTTGTTTGTTTTGTTTTTGTAGTATCCATTATAGCCTTCTAGTGTCTACAGGATTTGTAATAATATTCCTTTCATTTCTGGTATTGGCAATTTGCGTTTTCTCTTCTTCCTTTGTCAGTCTGCTAGAGGCTTCCTCATTTAATTGATTTCCACCTCCCACCACCCCTGCAAAGAACCAACTTTGGATTTCGTTGAATTTTTTTCCTTTACTGTTTTTGTTTAAATATTACTGATCTAGTCTGTTTTTCTTATGCCTGATTTGAGTTTATTTGGTTCTTTTTTTACTTAAAGTAAATGCTTACATTATTGATTTGATGCTTCATTTCTCATAATTTAGTGCTATAAATTGCCCTGTAAGCACATATTTTGATAAGATGATGTCATATTTATTAAGTTCAAACTGTTTTCCGATTTGTCTTAAGATACTCTCTTTGACCTAGGGGCCATTTAGAAGTATGCCATTTAACTTCTCATATTTGGGGATGTTCTAGAAATGTTCTAGATTCCTAGTTTAATTCTGTCATCAGAGAAAATAATTAACTGAATTTTAATTGTTTAACTTTAGGGTTTGTTTTATGACCCAGAATATGATCTCTCACCACCGCCATCCAGATAATTCTTCAGGTTTTGACGTTTCCCAACCTGTCTGCTGGTTACTTTTCAGAGTACTTGGGTCATTGTTATTTATATTTTGTCCAGAGTTTCAAATTGTGATCAGTGGAAATGACAGGCCGTAGCATGCATACACCATCCTGGCCAGCATCACAGGTGGTCAGCATATCTTTCTGTTGTTGTTTTGAGACAGGGTCTCACTCTGTTGCCCAGGCTGGAGCACAGTGGCATGATCAGGGATCACTGCATTCTCAACCTGCTAGGCTCAAGTGATCCTCCCACCTCAGCCTCCCAAATAGCTGGGTCTATAGGTGTGCTGCCATGCCCAGCTAATTTTTGTATTTTTTATAAAGACGGGATTTTGCCTTGTTGCCCAGGCTGGTCTCAAACTCCTGAGCTCAGGCCATCCTCTCACTCGGGCCTCCCAAAATACTAGGATTATAGGCATGAGCACCACACCTGGCCAGTACTTCTTAAAAATAATTGCTGATCCACGTTGAATAATGATGGCCTGTAAATATTTTTTCTTGCACTTGCCTTGTTGGGTTTTGATATCAAGGTTATTTTTATTTTAACCTTGTAAAATGAACTGGGGAGTCTTCTTTTTTTATTCTCTGTTTGTGTTGGTGGCAGAGTTTTTTTTTTTGTTTGGTTGGTTGGTTTGTTTCTCTTGTATGTTTCATGGAACTTTTTGGTGAAGGCACTTGGGCCTGGAAATTTCTTTATGGGAAGTTTTTTCATTACTGATTCAATATATTTAATCTATGTAAGTTTTTTTTCTACTTTTTGAGTCAATTTTGATTTTTTTTCCTAGAAATTCATATCTCACCAAGTATGGTGGCTTATGCTTGTAATCCCAGCACTTTGGGAGGCTCAGGTGGGAGGACCACTTGACTACAGTAGTTCAAGACCAGCCTGGGCAATATAGTGAGACTCCATCTCTACAAAAAAAATAAAAATTAGCTTGGTGTGGTGGTGGGTGCCTGTAGTGTGAGCTACTTGGGATGCTGAGGTGGGAGGATCATTTGAGCCTGGAAGGTCGAGACTGCAGTGAGCTGTGATTGTGCCACTGCACTCCAGCCTGAGCGACAGAATGAGACCTTGTCTCAAAAAAAAAAAAGAAAAAGATTTGTCATCTATGCTTTAAAGTCTGTTGGCATAAAGGTATTCATAATTTTACATTATGAATTTGTTTATTTGAGACAGGGTCTCACTCTGTTGCCCAGGCTGGAGTACAGTGGTGCAATCATGGCTCACTGCAGCCTCCACCTCCCAGGCTCAAGCCACCCTCTTGCTTCAGCCTCCCAAGTAGCTGGGACCACAGGCACGTGCCACCATGCCCAGCTAATTTTTGTATTTTTGGTAGAGACGGGGTTTTGCCATGTTGCCCAGGCTGGTCTCAAACTCCTGAATTTGAGCATTCCTCCCACTTCGGTCTCCCAAAGTGCTGGGATTACAAGCGTGAGCCATCATTCTTGGCCTGCAAGTTATGACTTCCTTTCAGAGTCTTTCTATCTGTAGTACAGTCCTCCTGTGCAAGATTGTTTTTTGAATGCTTTTTCTTGACAAATCTTGCTAAAGGTCTGTGAATTTTATAATGTATTTTTAAAGAACCAGGTTTTAGCAGGGCATGGTGGCTCATACCTGTAATCCCAGCACTTTGAGAGGCAAAGGTGGGAGGATCGCTTGAGCCTGTAAGGGGGAGGCTGTACTAAGCTGTGATTGAGCCACTACACTCCAGCCTGGGCAACGGAATGAGACCCTATCTGAAAACCAAAAAAACCACAAGTTTTAGCTTGGCTGATTCTATTGTGTGTTTCTTTTGTATTTCATTTGTTTGTTATGTTTTTCCTTTTTCTTTCTTTGAATTTAACTTGTTCTTTGTCTGATTTATTGACTGATGCTTAGTTTTTTTTTTGTTTTTTTTTTTTTTTGAGACGTAGTCTCACTCTTTCACCAGGCTGGAGTGCAGTGGCACAATCTTGGCTCACTGCAACCTCCAGCTCCCGGGTTCAAGCGATTCTCCTGCCTCAGCCTCCCGAGTAGCTGGGACTACAGGTGTGCGCCACCACACCCAGCTAATTTTTGTATTTTTAGTAGAGCTGGGGATTCACCATGTTGGCCAGCACAAAGTGCTGGGATTACAGGCATGAGCCACTGTGCCTGGCCAGTGCAAGTGTCTTTAGCCAGCTTCATTTACTCCCTAACTCCTTACCTCAGGTTCTGCATCCGTAAAATGAGGTCACTAGGAGTATTTACCTCAGAGGGCTGTTGCAAGGTTAAAGCTGGTTATACAAGCAGAGTACTTGGAACAGTGTCAGTTACCTGGCTGGGGCTCAGTAAGTGCTGGCTGTCCTTATTGAAAAGGTTCAAGTGTTGTGTTTTCCTGTTACCTGATCTGGAAAGAGGTCAAACAAAGGATCTTTTAGCCCATGCCATTTCCTGTCCGTCCTTGGCTGAAGGCTGACAGGTAAGAATCCCCAGAAGTTGTCACCGATGTGCCTGTGGAAGTGCCTTCCTGATTGCTTTCCCTCTGGAGCCTTTAAGTTCCATGAAGCACTTAGTTGGCCTGGATTCCACCTATTCAGCATGCTGTGGCAGCTCAGTTCAGTTCCCATTTTTAACTTGGGACTGCATAGATTCCCCGTCATTTCTTTTAGGACCAGGTGGGCAAGAAGATCCAGTCAGTGCTTTATTACTTCTCACTGATATTCACACAGCACATTTAGTGTGAGCCATAGAATAAGAAAACTCTTAGTCACATTCTGTGTCATGAGAAGGTTACTTAAGCTTGAAAACCATTTCCTTGTCTGGTAAATGCGGCTGTAATGAAATCGACCCCATTCACTGTTGTGAGAATTAAATGAGATGATGTATGCAGAGCAACTAGGACAGTGCCTGGGAAAGTGCTACTCATGATCATTTATCTTCAGTTTAGAACAATATATACTTGCTTACTTAAAAAAGGAGATAATAGAGAAAAGGTATTGAGAAAAGTAGGAGAGGAGAAAATCACTCATATTCTCACCATTCAGTGATTCAGCCCAGTATCATCAATGTTTTGTTTGGTTGTTTTTGTAGGTGTAGGATTTTTTTTTTTTTAAACATAATTTTCCTGCATATGCAGTTTTGCATTTTTAACCCAAACTTAATGTTCTTTTTAATGTTCTTGTACTTACAAAGATTTATCCTGTTTTTAGATTGATATCTCACCTTGGCAGAAATGAGATAAAATTTTAAAATATTCATTTGGTGGCTTTCACAGTATTATTTGATCTCTAGGGTCTCCTGTGAGTTTGCTACATGGTGCATTGTATTACTTTCATCTTATAGATGAAGAAAGATACTAGTGTGGCTGAGTCGCATGCAGAATTTGGAGGAGCATGGTGCTGAATGAGCTTTGATGATTGTAGGGGCCACAACTGGAAAAGTAGATGTAAAATGGTGAGGTCGATCCCTCTGACACTTTCACATGCTCAGTCACGCATCTTGAACATATAAGTTGGATCCTATGCCTAGAGAGGTAGGTTTCTGAGCCAAGGCATATTCCAAAAATTGCATGAGAAGCTGGCTTTCCCAGGAACAGTGAGCCCTCCCGGCTCACTAACTCCTGAATCATACTTCCTGCCCCTAGCCAGGTTTATCTAGGACTTGAGCACAAAGAAAAAGTGGGAGCATCTTTGAACAAGAAATATCTTGAAAAACTAGTTAAGTGGTATCATATATTTGTGGGATGGGTGATTTCAAAACCCAGTCTAAAAGGACAGGACCTTGCTCATTGACAATTTATTGTCTGATGCAATGTTTCTTAATCTTTTTGGGTCTTGGATTCCTTTGAGAATCTTTTGAAGTTTATGGACTCTTTTCCCAGAAGAACACACTCATGTGTATGTAACACAATTTTGCATTCAATCTTAGGGACTGCAGGTGTCTACATTAGTTATATATTGGTGTAAAAAAAAGAGCCCCAAACTTAAGGCTTAAAGGAACAATAGATGTTTATTATCTCACAGTTTCTGTGGTTCAGAAAGTCAGTAACATCTTAACTGGATACTTCTGACTTGGAGTCTCCCAGGAGGTTGCAATCAAGATGTTGTTGGGGGGAAAGGGGCAGGTTCAGTGGCTCATGCCTGTAATCTCTACACTCTGGGAAGCAAAGCCAGGAGGATTACTTGAGCCCAGGAGTTTGAGACCAGCCTGGGCAACACAGTGAGACCCTATGTATTAGTCAGTTCTCACATTGCTATAAATACATGAGACTGGAGAATTTATAAAGAAAAGAGGTTTAATTGTCTCACAGTTCCACAGGCTGTTCAGGGAGCATAATGCTGGCATCTGCTCGGCTTCTGGGGCAACCACAGGAAACTTTCAATCATGGTGGAAGGTGAAGGGGAAGCAGGCACGCCTTACATGGCCAAAGCAGGAGCGAGAGAGAGGGGGGAGGTGCCACACACTTTTAAACAATTAGATACTGTGAGAACTCTAACGAGCACAGCACCAAAAGGGTGATGCTAAATCATTCATGAAAGATCTATTCCTGTGATCCAGTCACCTCCCACCAGGCCCCACCTCTAACATTGGGGATTATAATTGAACGTGAGATTTAGGTGGGTACACAGACCCCAACCATATCATCCCGTCTCTATAAGAAATAAAAAAGTTAGCCAGGCATGGTGGTGTGTGCTGGTGGTCCCAGATACTCAGGAGGCTGATGTGGGAGGATCACTTGAGCCTCGGAGGTCAAGGCTGCAGTGAGCTATGATTGCACCACTGCACTCCAGCCTGGGTGACAGAGTGAGACCCTGTCTCAACAACAACAAAAAGATGCCTGGGGTTGACATTATCTGAAGGCTTGACTGAGTTGACTGAGGCTGGAGAATCTACTTCCAGTCACATGCTAGCAAGTTAGTGCTAGCTGTTGGCAGGAGGCCTCATGCGGTCCTCCCCATATGGCTGCTTTGATGTCCTCATAACATCGTGCTTGTCTTTTTATGACCTAGCCTTGGAAGTCACATTCCACCATTTGTGCATTTCCTATTGGTCACATAGGTCAGTCCTATTTAGTGCATAGGGCAAGGTCTGAGAGGGGAGTAGTGCTGACTGCCCATGCCCTCTCCTGGTGCACGCCGCTTCCAGCACCCAGAAGCTCTCCTAACTCCGTTATTTAGGGTTTTCATATGGGATTTCATTACATGGGTATGACTGATCAAATCACTGACCAATGCTGATTGGATCAATCTGCGGTCCCCCTCTTGTCCTTGGAGGTCTAAGGGTGGGGCTGAAAACTCCACAACTCTAAGCGTGGCCAGCTCCTTCCTTGAAACTGCCTCCGTGCTCACCTTCAGTCACCCCATTAGCATAAACTCTGGGATGGCCAAAAGGGGCTTCTTATAAATAACAAAATGTACTCCCATTGCTTAGGAAGTTCCAAGGGGTTTAGGAGCTCAGTGCCAGGAACTGGGGACAAAGACCAAATATGTATATATATATAAACACTACAGTAGTGAATTTTATATAGCAAACATGCATTATTTTTCTTTTTGGCTAAAATTTTTTTCTAGTTATAAAACTGGTACATACTCATTGCAGAGAACTGGGGGAAGGAGTAAAATATTAAGAAAAAAATAAAAATCACTTGCCATCCTGTCACCTAGTATTTTCTTTCTAGTTCTTTTCATGCAGTTATATATAACATTTTGATCTTTCTTTTTATGTTACAGAAGTCATATTTGCTTATTGCAGAGTAATCCAAAGAGTACAGAATGTCTAAAGTTAAAAAAGTTATTTAAAAAAAATGATCCTTGCCTGGGAGGAACTTTCTATTGTAGGTTGAGAGGGGAGATAGAGGGGCTGTGGGTCAGAGGATGCCCTGGTCAGGGTTGGGTGCCTGTGTCTCTTTGGAGGCAGCAGAGGTCTGCACAGCAGGGTATTACCATTATAGGGAAATGGGGGGGTGGGATGTGTGGAAGGGGAATTAAACTGCCAAGAAGAAAACAATTATTTTTATGTTGAGAAGCATTATTTTCAGGGGTCAGAAGCCCTTTGTGGGGCAGAGGGAAATTAAGGAGGTATTTAATAAACAGGTGCAGCTGAATGTGTGTGGTTAAAGTGCAGTCCAGTAGTTATTTATTTGTCCGGATTGTTTATAACCTGCTTCCAGCCTAGACAAGTTGATTTGACCCTGCTGACCTGGCTCATTCAGGCCACTTAACACTGTTTACCTTTGGGTGGGGAGGACATGCATGATCCGCTGGCCGAGTGCCTTTGTAAGGTCTGTAAATAGGATGCATTCTGGTTAAACTCATTATTGCATCACAAAAGCCAGTATCTGATGGGTCTCAGCTCTTTTCTTTTGCACTGGGGAAGACTGGAGGAGAATGAAACTTCCTTGAACCAGTGATTGGGTCTCTACCAAAGAGAGAAACTTAAAGCTAGTGAGAGCCTTAAGATATTTCATTTGAGCACTTGGCTGGCACCATGTAGGTAGAGACACTTTAAAGTAACAGTGCTTTGCTACACCTGATTTGAATCATCTGTGGAGCTTCAAAAAAAATCCTAATTAATCCTAAGACCAGTTATGTCAGGTGGGGTCCAGGCACTGTTATTTTTTTTAAAGCTCCCCAGGTGATTCCAGTGTAGGTCCAGGACTGAGAAGCAGTCCTTGAAGATGCTGGTGTACCCTGACCTGCCTCCAGCCTTCTTTGCAGGAGATGGATGGGGGTTGGTTGTAGTTGTTCTGTCATAGAACACTGCAATTCAAAGGATACCTAATGCTATGAATGTAGGTAAATTGTTTGCAAAATGTTCTGTGTTTCAGGAATACTGCAATCATTTGATTCAAATGTCACCATATGTGTGCGTGTATACAGTCATGGGTCACTTAATGATGGGGACATGTTTTAAGAAATGTGTCGTTAGGCAATTTCATTCTTGTGTGAACATCATAGGGTGTATTTCAACAAACCGAGATGGGATATATATTTTCATTTATATATTTTATTATGGAAAATCAAATGTCCCAGCACTGTTACTAAATATCAGTCATTTCCCCTACTTGATCTGCCATGCCAACATTAAGTGCCATATATTAGATCTCTATATATACTCCATTATAATCTTACAGGATCACTGTTGCACATGTGTTTCCTCATTGACTGAAATGTTATTCAGTGCATGACTGTACATATAGTAAAAACGTTATGCACCATATTTTAACATACTGATATTACTAATGAGTTGTCCTCATGGTGACTTTAAATATCATAATTAATGCCATCAACCAGAATATATCAAATAAATTCAGATACCACTTGTTCTGTTTATTTCCTTCCCCTGCCAATTTTTTATTTTTCCTGATTCTGCTGAAGCCAAGATGGGGTTCTGTGTAAGATTTTGTTTGTGAGGAAAGGTTCTGCATGAATTAAAGTTTTGCAAGCCATGGGCATTTCATTGTATGGGCCGTTTTGAGGTCTGTCATCTTGCAGATTAGATTAGCTTACACTGAGGCACAGTCACCTGCTGGGCTGGGCAGAGAGCTGCACTCCACTAGTATTTGAGCTGTCCCGGCTGTTCACCAGCTGGATCCACTTCAGATAGGCATAGCCAGGGCAGCCGCCATTCCCATTTGTGGGGGAAAAGGGAAGCTATCACAAGAATGGGCTGCAGCTGTGGGATGAGGCGGGCAGCCCAGTGATGGTGTCATTGTCAAGGGGCCATTGAAATGTCCTTAAGCAGTCATTGGCCAAATCCTGTCCTCTATGGATCCAGAGCCACAGAATGTTCCAGCAGAAATATGTCTTAGCCAGCAGCTCTTTATTGAGGACTGATTGTGGGCTAGGCTCTGTGCTAGGGTCTTTACAGATGTTACTAAATCTTCTCAATAACCCTATGAGACAGGCATTATTATCCCCATCTTACCGATGAGAAAACTGAGGCTTAGAGAGGTTAAGCAGCTTATCCAAGACCACAGTTAATAAGTGACAAAGCCAGCATCGGAACCCATGCTAGTCCTCTCTAAAGCCTTCTTAGAAATCATGTGATAGATGAGAAGATCAAGGTCTGGAGAAGAAAAGCAAGTTGTCTGAGATGACACAATCAGCTCTAATTGGTGGCAAAGCTGCGCCTATAACTCACCTGCGCTTTTCACAACCTGCAGTACGTGACCACTGCCGAAATGAAGAGGCAGCATTGTGCCCCCTCCCACCTTCTGAGTGGCTCAGGCACAATCAGTGTTGAGTTGGCATGAAATGAGAACTTAAACTCACCATGCCACTTTAAGAAGAACATGGAGAAGGCAGGCAGAAGTGACCTTGGAGAACAGTATCTGAGCCAGAAGGCAGGAGGTCAGCGGGGGAGTCTTGAGTGGGAAACTCAAGGGTAGCCTGACTGTCCTTGTCACAGGTTTAGCTGGGCACTGTTAGTTCCCCCCTTTGTCAGTTTGTGGGAATCTGGGCATCAGGGATCTCTTTCAGCCCTTCACATTTGTATTTGGGTGTGCTCAGCTTAAAACGATAGCAGCCTGCAGGAGCTCAGCTCTGCCTCCATTTATAGAGGGAAGAGAAACTAAGGAATGCTCCTTGGGGTGGTGTTGGGGAGCAGCTACATGGGAAAATGAAGGGTGCAGCACCAGTAAAAAGGTGCTCCCAGGACTCCCTCCCACCAGCACTCGGACCAAGGAAGAAGCATTTAATTTCAGCCAGATTTCTAGATGGTTGCTTTTATTTGTTTTCATCTGAATTTGTGCCAAGGATTCAACTTTTCCTGCTTATTTTATTAAAAACTTTATACACAGCATTAATAAATAGATATAAACTGCCATATACATGACAAACAGAGGGGCTTAATGAAATTCCCAAGGGTCAGCTGTTGAATAAGTAACAAAAGCACATCTTGGCATGATCAAATTCCCATATATGCAAATTAGGGACAGTGTTTTACCACAGAGTGTTTTAATTAATATTTATAAATCACAGAGTGCCTTTGAAAGGGCCAGTAAGCTGTTTATATTATTATCATGTCACACAAGTAACAAACCCTTTGGAGATTGCTGCCTACTTTGCATTTTGGTCTGAGAAGTAAGTGAGCATGTTGCCTGTGTTTCTCTCCCTCGTAGGTGTGGTGTCAGCACAGCGGCAGGTCACCGTTCAGGAAGGACCCTTGTACCGCACAGAGGGCTCCCACATCACTATCTGGTGCAATGTGAGTGGCTACCAGGGACCTCCTGAGCAGAATTTCCAGTGGTCCATTTACCTGCCTTCATCGCCAGAGCGAGAGGTGCAGATCATCAGCACCATAGACTCTTCCTTCCCCTATGCCATCTACACCCAGCGCGTCCACGGAGGGAAGATCTTCATAGAAAGAGTCCAGGGGAACCCAACCCTATTGCACATCACAGATCTTCAGGCCCGGGATGCCGGAGAATATGAATGCCACACACCCAGCACCGATAAGCAATACTTTGGGAGTTACAGTGCAAAGATGAACCTAGTGGGTAAGGAGAAGCTGTCTTCACGTTGCCAGCGTCTGGCCTGACTCAGTTCTTTAGTAGTGTAATTTTGCTTTATGCCATGCATTTGACTTTAAAAAAAATCCCAAAACTCCCAACATATTTTAGGGGTCAACAGATAGCACAAGGAAACTAAATTTCTGTGTTCACTTCTAAATAATAGGTGGTTGAGGGTGAAACTTTAAAAAGATCTAATGCAGATGTTAAGAATTTCATAAGTTAACTAACCCTGTAACTGGTGAAAAGGGATATGAAAATATAAGGCAAGGACGTTTGTGGTTGATGATCTGAATGACAAGGAAGATGAGACATATGACATCAGGTGGAAGAGAGGAGGAACCTCTCGGAAGGATAGGCCTCTGGGCAGCTCTGAGACCCACGGGGCACTGCTGAAGCAGGAAGCACATGTGGCTGCGGGTCCTTGCTCAGACCTTGTACATTGAAGGTCCTTTGGCTCCATGCGTAAGGAACTATGAACTGGCTGTCTCCCTTGTTGCTCCTTAATGCTGAAGGAAACATGAGGAAGAGGGATGCAGGAGCTTCCAGTGTGGGCAGCACTGGTCACAGTGTTTGCCAGTGTCAAAGGGTTAACCGTATCAAGGCTGTTCTGTTTTTCTGCCTATCTTAATGTCCAGTTTTTATTATCACAACTAAGCAGTGGGTGTTGCTAGTTCTTTTATTAATACACATACTATCATTTGTTTATGTTTCCTTTCTCTAACTAGTCTGTGTCCCAGCAGGAGACCTTTTATTTTTCGTGTGTGTGTGTGTGTGTGTGTGTGTGTGTGTGACGGAGTTTCGCTCTTGTTGCCCAGGCTGGAGTGCAATGGGGCTCACTGCAACCTCCACCTCCCGGGTTCAAGCAGTTCTCCTGCCTCAGCCTCCCGAGTAGCTGGGATTAGAGGCATGCACTACCCTGCCTGGCTAATTTTGGATTTTTAGTAGAGACGGGGTTTCTCCATGTTGGTCAGGCTGGTCTCGAACTCCCGACCTCAGGTGATCCGCCTCCCTCAGCCTCCCAAAGTGTTAGGATTATAGGTGTGAGCCACCGCACTTGGCCGTTCCCAGCAGGAGACCTGTAAGACCCAATCCTTGGGTGAGAACAGGGAGAAAACACATACTAGTTGTGACTAGGGTACTGTCATCAGACAGAGAGGTGGTGCTATTTAATCTCCAGAAAGGTGCAAGCAAGGATCAGGGTATGATTCTGACCAAGGGATCACGGAGAAAATCTCTTCTCTTGCCTGAATCTCTCCAGACTGTGGCTTCCTTCCAGTGAGGACCCCTTTGATCGATGAATTAGGTGAAAATTAAACCCACTAAAAATAGGGTATGATGATTATTGTTTCTACCAAAAATGGTTTTTTAAAAAAATCATCTTCCTAGGGCTGCATTGCTGAAGTAAGTTACAGGATGGGGATGTGGGAAGGAAAGAAAGGATATTGTATAGAAATGTAAAACTAAAAGTTCCAGGAGGCATTTCCATTAGAGGATCAGTCAGAAGTGAAGTTAAAGTATCTCAAAGCAGTGCCAGAATCAACAACAAATGTTATTTGACCTATAAGACAATTGTTTAAAGACAGTATTTTCAGGGAGTTCATTTATTATGTAATATGAAATACACCCCATGTTTTATCCAAGTGTTATTAAAATACGAGACAGGTAAGTGTAAGCACCAAAATAATGCATTTCCAAATCTGAACAGAAAACTTTCTGTTTATGTGCATCTGGGGCTGTCTGTGGCCTTGAATCGATGGTTCAAGGATGACTGTTAGGGACGCAGTGTGGTGACGCCTGCGTGGAATGGGAGCTTAGCCCCGGGAGTCTCAGATTCTGTGGCTTTGTGACTGCAGTCTCAGGACATTTCTGTGTTGCAGTGATCCCAGACTCCCTGCAGACCACTGCCATGCCCCAGACTCTGCACAGAGTGGAGCAGGACCCACTGGAACTCACTTGTGAGGTGGCCTCGGAGACCGTTCAGCACAGCCAGGTGCTGTGGCCTGGCTCTGGCAGAAAGTTGGCGAGAAGCCCGTGGAGGTCATCTCCCTGAGCCGAGATTTCATGCTTCACTCCGGCAGCGAATATGCCTGGAGGCAGAGCCTGGGGGAGGTGCGGCTGGACAAGCTGGGGAGGACCACCTTCCGCCTCACCATCTTCCACCTGCAGCCTTCTGACCAGGGCGAGTTCTACTGCGAGGCCGCCGAGTGGATCCAGAATCCGGATGGGTCGTGGTATGCTATGACCCGAAAGCGTTCCGAGGGAGCCGTGGTCAACGTCCAGCCAACTGGTCAGTCCCTCTGAGCCTCTTGTCCTGTCCTTTACTTGGTGGTGAAAGCTGTCGGATACTAGGAGAATGTGGAGACTCCTTCTTTGGGCACCTCTACCAGGACAGCAGGTTTTCATGTGAAGTTAAAGCCGGTCTTGTGTGCGGCCGGAGGGAGCTGAGGGATGTGCGGGACATAGGTATCCTAAGACCTGAGTCACAGGCAGGTGCCACACAGACTGAATCCTGCTTAGAGACATGCTTTCTTCCACCTACGTGGTGTTTACACTTTTTTGAATTAGAAACTCATTTTAAAAATTGGGAGATTTCTGAGAAACCATTTGTATCTTAAAACTCCGGGCTTTCATTCCCATTAGCCACAGTTGCTGCCCCGTTTAATGATGTTGCCTTCCTCAGGTACCCATCTGGTTTCATTTGCAGAAGCCATTTGAGATAATGAGACTTCCATCCAAGGTCTAACATTATGAACTAGAGAAATTTTGGCTTAAATTATTATTTTTTATCTAATAATAGTCTTTGGTGATATTTTGTAATTTCCAAAATGCTTTATCACATATTACTTCACCATCCCCCAGACGTTCTGTGAGGTGAGTACGTGGTAGTATTCCTATTTTGCAGGTGAGGATGCTGAATGCAGATTACTTTATGTTGGGGCTCAAGAGGAGTCATAGGGCATGTTGATGAGGCCAGTCTGAGAGTACCAAGTTCCACTGTATATGTTTTCTTAAGTGAAGACCTGGAAGGGGTCCTGAGGAGGTTGCATGATGTCTTTAGACACCATCATTTGTCTTGAGGCAAAATGATGGTGGCACAGCCAGCTGAAACCCTCCCTGGCTTCTCTTGGTATCTCCTGTGGCCCCAGACTCTACTCCCCAGTCTCATGAGCCCACCAGGCTCCAGGCCAGAGCTGACAGCTGTTGCTGGCTGCCTCTGCTGGGCTGAGGGCAGGTTCTCACATGGGCCTTCAGTTCCCCCAGCTTTGGTTGGAGCGTGGTTGTTGTGCCGTCACTAAGTTGGTGATGAGTGGCCTGAAAGCCTTTCCTTGTGTGGATGCTCACTTCCAGTGAGGACTGTGGTGGTTCTGGTGAGTGAGTGTGGCTTTGTGGGAAATGAGCTGGTGAGTTGCAGTACAGGTGGGGTCCTTCTTCAGGACCTGTCTCTTGGGCTCCCTGTCCCATTTGCTGCAGTCAGTTGTCTGGGTCTTTGCATACTTTCTCTGCCATTCTAGAGTAATGCCTCAGACTCAGCTAACAGTACACATTTTGGGGCTTTGTCCCAGAAGTCTTCAATTGGAGGCTCCCGGGATGGGACCTGGGAAGCTGGATTTCTGGCACGCTTCCCAGGTGATTCTTCTGCTATCTACATTTTTTTTTTCAAGCAAAGCTTCTAGGGCAGAAGCAATTCTCTGGACATCACTTTAATAAGTCATCTAATGGATGTGAAATCTTTTACCATAGGGGTTGGTAGGGATAGGGGGCACTTTATCTGCTCTGTAGGGCATTTAGCAGCTTCTGGATTTTTCAGTATTAAAAAATCTATCCAAGGGGCTTTATTTTATATTTATCCTTTCCCTTCCTGGAAAGTTTTGAGATCAACTTCAAAAATTTGGGCCAAATTTTGAGTCTTAATGCTTTTAAATTAGGTTGCATCAGTTAATCTTCTTTATTTTAATCTTACCAATTTGGAATTAGAACTTTTTGAATTTACCCTGAAAATGTATCTAGACTAAGCCATCAAAAGGAAAACTAAGTGAAAAAAAAGTTGATGACTTCACTCTGCATTCCTGTGCTGTTTAGGTTCAGTAGTTGCATCTCCAACTCTACCCTTCTCAGTTTATTTCAGTAAACATGTAGCCAGTCTCCACAGCATTGAAGGTGTGATGGTGATAGGCATTAAGGGCTTCAAAGATGACTAGCACTGGTCCCTGCACTTAGGCAGACCTGAGAACCAATGGACAAGTAAAATGTGCTAAGTGCATTGATAGCATTTGTATAGAGTCCTCTGGGAATACCGGAAATAGGAAGTGTTCTTGCAACCATAGTTTTCTCTGAATGGGATGGTTGATAAGACAAATCCAGGAACACCAATAAGTTTCTTGACTTGAACTGAGTCTGGAAGCTTGAGGAGTCAGGAGAAGAAGCATAAAAGTGCAAAAGTGTTTGATATGTTTGGCAAGCAGAAAGGAGTCAAGTATGACTAGTTCCAGATGTTCAGTTCCAGATGTGTGTGATGAGAGGAAAGGGAGCCCGAAGCCCCAAATGCAGTGATATAGAGCCAGGGCTTGACTCTGTGGGCCAAGAGTTTTTAAGCTGTTCTTGGAACCCTGGAAGCCCCTCAAAGGTGCCTAGGAGGTTAGACATGGGTGTGTGTTGGTGTTCATGTGCACATTGTGCACACCCAGGAGTGCAGGGAGAAGGCATGCAAGGGCCTGGGTGGTCCCCCCTTGCTTCAACTATGTTGGGCAGCAGAAGATTTTATATGAATAAAAAGTCCACTTCCTTTGTCCTCTTCTTAATAAAGTTTGAAGACCTCTGCTGCAGACAGTTGGAGAGGAGGTAGAGATTTTTAAGCAGGGAGTAAGACAATCAGATCAGGGTTTCAGAAAGAAAAACCTATGGAGGCCACCTGGAGGTTGATTAAATCTGTTGAGTCTGAAGCCAAGAGACCAGGTAGAAAAGAGCTAATAAGAGCCAAGGCTAGGTCAGTGGGTGCCAGAGGCGAAAGAATAAAGAGCACAATGGAAGGAGGGGTCCAACTGTCTAGAACCCCAGGGGCTGGGGCTGGGGCTCTGGGGGTTCCTTGAACTGTGGGAGGGAAGGAACAATAATGAGGACATGCGGGACCTTTGCATTTGTGGCAGCATTGGCTGCCTTTTGTTTTTGTAAATTCTAATGAAAGAGCCCATCCATCAGATAGACTCTGATAGAGATGCTCAGTGTGCGAAACACCCAGTGGGTCCTCAGACATAGGGGTCTGGGGCTCAGAGACCGAGCCTGAGAGTGATCAGGGCCCTGGAAGAGCTCATGGGGTCAAAATGGGAAAGGGCCTGGGAGAACAGCAGCAGTAAGGGGTGACCAGAGAAGCAGGTGAGAGAGTGGAACAGAGTGGGCAGGCCAGCAAGAAGAGCAGGAGAGAAGGGATCATAGAGCAGGCTCAGAGGCCTCAACCTGCTTGAGGAAAGCCTTTGGTTAGGATGGGGGTAGGGGTAGGGGTAGGGTGGATCATTCATGACATTTGCTAAGTCAGTGAAGCCTAATTTCAGTGAGATGAAGTGGAAGGGGTATTGGAAAAAGCACAGGTCAGTTTCTAGAGATGTAATTGACTGGGCATAACCAAGGGCAGAAACGGGGGTGATGTGGGTAAATCTTGTGTCTTCAACCTGGGAACATGAAGGTGTCACCAAGGCATGGGGGGATTCCCCTGAGATGAGCAGATCCTTTGGCCTCTGAAAGAAGAAAGCCAGAGTTACAGCCAGGCTAACCTGGAGCAATGGAAAGGTCTGAGGTCTAGGGTACCCCTTGCACAGCTCCAGTGGTGTTTATGTGGAAGGAGTGCTTTTCTGTCATTGATGTCGGGTTATAAATGACTAATTGGGTTGACATGAGAGATAATATCCAGCAGATAACATGGGGACTGTCCCATATGGGTGTGTTCATCCAGGCAGATGGTGGCAGAGTGAAATGTGCTTCCTTCAATCCATGCCTCTTAAGACTGGTCTCTTGGGAGCTGGAAGCTGTGACAGCAGCTACTTCATTGGAGGGGAGGCCCTGGAGTTGATGACGTGGTTTTCCCTGTCAGGAAGTTTGGCTGCTAGAGGAAGTAGTTAGGTCACTGGAAAGAAGAGGTGTTTGCAGCAGGTCACTGGCCTATATCGGCAGGGAGGGGCTGGAGAGCCTGAGGAGTGGGAGGGGTAAAGCTGAGCTGGGGCTGGAAAAGAGGAATGTGGATGCTGCTCATGCGTGACTCTTATGTTTTCTCGGGGAAACAGAAACCTCGTCTGCTTGAAGAGTGCCTAGGACGGGATGAATGGGCAAGATCTTGCAGATAGTGGGAAAGACTAGACATGCCAGTCTAGGGAAGGCAGACAAGGTCAGAGCTAATGAATCTACATGGAATTCAAACATCTCTGCCATGAGATTTTTTCCACCTCAGTGTTCTTTTTAGAGGAACAGAGCTAGAACTGGGCAGTGGTCACAGCTCCAGTCTCTAACCCTTAACTCCATTTTCTTCCCCCTGACTTCTGCCCTGGGTGCCTATGAGATACGATAGCTGTCTAATGAGATTAATAGCCACTGTACACTGGTACACAGGTTGTGGTGATGCTGTTAGTGGTGATGAGCCCCTCTTTGGTCACCCCCTCATGCCTGGTTAAACACCCAACTCAACAAAAATTAGCCAGATATGGTGGCTACTCCGGAGGCTGAGGTGGGAGGATGGCTGGAGCCTGGGAAGTCGAGGCTGCAGTGAGCCATGATCATGCCACTACACTCCAGCCTGGGCAACAGAGCGAGACCTTGTTACAATAAATAAGTAAATAAATAAAAATTTAAAAAACACCTAGCTCTTTGGAGGCTGCTTGGTTTTAGTAATCATTTCAGAGTCTGTCTGGCTTTCAGCAGAAGTAGGTACTTTCCTACTAAAGTACCTACTAAGGTTTAACCAGGCGTGAGTACTTAGTAGGTACTTTCCCACTGAAGTAGGTACTTTCCTACTAAAGTAAGTACTTAGTAGGTACTTCAGTGGGAAAGTACCTACTTCCATTGAAATCTGCCTAAAGATTTGATCTGACAGGTGGTAAACTAGTGAACAGACATTAGTTTTTATTTTTTCTATGTAATTCTGTTAGGGTTTTGTCATGGCTACAACTTATTTCTAGTATTCACATGGCGGGGGGTAGAGAGGGAATTTTAATCTTTGAGCATTTGTTAGGATTGGGCCAGCACCTAGGCCACTCTGTAATTTTTTCCCACAGACCTCAGTGGGGTAAGTCTTACAGTATCTGCTGAAAATGTTTATAAGGCTGTTCCTTAAATAGAGTTCTGGGTGCATATATCAAGGCTAGATATTTGTAATCCACCATTTGAGTGATATTAGTAGCTTCTCACTGACCTGGGGGTTTCATGCAAGACATCTAAAGCTTCAGACTGAGCCCCATTGGTCTTAACTGGGGTAACAGTTTGCTTAGACCGTCTGGGCTGAAGTAGTATTGAATTCTGTCTGTGATATTCAGGCGTTTCTCTGGACCTCAGATAACCTGGGTCTGAGTTGGATTTTACTCTCAAGCCAAGTGTTGTGGTACTCCCTGCAATTAGTATTGTAAAGAAGAGGAAGGATAGTGGGAATGTGCTAATGTGGTTTAGTTGGCTGGGGCCCTCATTCACCCAGGATGTGTCTCTTTTCTTAATTGTTCTCTCAGACAAAGAATTCACTGTTCGGTTGGAAACAGAGAAGCGGCTGCACACGGTGGGCGAGCCGGTGGAGTTCAGATGCATCCTGGAGGCTCAGAATGTTCCCGACCGTTACTTTGCTGTCTCCTGGGCCTTCAACAGCTCGCTCATCGCCACCATGGGTCCTAACGCTGTGCCTGTCCTCAACAGCGAATTTGCTCACCGGGAAGCCAGGGGACAGCTTAACGTGGCCAAAGAGAGCGACAGTGTCTTTGTGCTGAAGATCTACCACCTCCGCCAGGAAGATAGCGGGAAATACAACTGCCGGGTGACTGAGCGAGAGAAAACCGTGACGGGGGAATTCACTGATAAGGAGAGCAAGCGTCCCAAGAACATCCCCATCATAGTCCTCCCCCTCGGTAAGTAGAGAGATGTGCTGCTTTCTTCTCCTTTGGCTCAGCATCATTTAGGAGAGGTAGGGGGAGAGAGAATAGTGTGGTGAGGGTGAGGGGAGGCAGATGGAACCCCCGAGGTTAATGCAGAGCTGGGGGAAAAACCATTGAGCCTCTCTTCCCTGTTGTAGCCCACCTGCCTACATTTAGCAGTCTCCCCATAGCAGAGGATCAGGATCAGGGGTGTCCAGGATCAGGGCAGTCTAGGGCTGGGCATAGGCCTATCTGATTGCTAGCAGCCCTGTGCATACACAAGCAGTGCCAGCTCAGCTTGGAGGGAAACCAGGAATCCCAGAAAGCTGTTTGCTCTTGTGTGGGAATCAAGTCCCAGAAGAAGTGGGTAGATAGATGCCTGCCTTGAAATCTCACTTAAGGAGAGCTGGTCTTTTATGGGAGGATTTTAAATCATAAAGTGCATTATTAAGGATTTGCCATCTGGGTTTTTCAGGTATAAAGGCTGGCATTTCCCTAAATGGCTTTTCCCTGTTGAAATTGTGTTTCTAAAAGTCAGTGGATGGGACCTCTCACATCTTCCTGGAGCATAGTCTTTTAAGCTTAGCTGATTTCTGAGGCTGCCTCAGTGGGCTCCCAGCCTTCATGTAGACTGGCCTTGTGTGGGTGGGTAGTGGCCATTGCTAGGGATTCCAGAAACTACCGGTGTTTGCTTGTGTTGTGTTTAAACATTCACAGTATCAAGATATTCTTATTAATCTCATTCTCCCATAGTTCTGTTTTTAGTAAAGAGAATAAAAACCTACGATGCTCTGATTTTAAACAAGTGGTAAAGTTTTAAGACTAATCTTTAACCTTTTCTCAGCTGCTAAAACTATTCTTTCTCTGAGCCTTGTAATAATTTCCTTTACTTTTTATTTATATGTTTTAATATTTAAAATATTTCTCTTCAAGTGTGAAGTAAAAAGTAGCCATAGGGGTCCTCTTGTTAGTCTTTTCTTCTTTTCTCATCAACTGGATTATTTTCTTTTATGCTTATTATTATTTTGTTAAAAACCATGCACACACATACCTAATTATCTTTTTTTTCCTGGCAATAAATATTTTAATTTGTTTCATTTTTATGATGACAAATAATTTTCAAGTTTATTTCCTCGTTTAAATACAAAGCTAAACCACAAACAGGTATAATCAAGACATTGTGTCTCATATTTACACTCCCATCGGATCCTCTTCCAATTTGCTGACCACTGACCAGGCTAGCGGGGGGCGGGGGTGGGAGGGAAGACTTTCTTAGGTAACACCGTCGTAAGGCCCGAGGTGGGGTTGGGGGGGGAATCAAAGATGAGGACAGGCTCTCATACCTGTCTCCATTCACATTTACCTGGGACCAGGGTGGGCAGGAGACACCAGGTCATGGCTCCTGAGCCCCGGCCCCCTGGACTGAAGGGACAGTGTGTGAGAATCAGTTCTGTGAAGGGCGGGAGGAAGCAGCCACCTATTCCTCCTGCCTTCACAGTTAAGGTGAAAACCTTAGCCCTATCCTTGATTCCTGGGGGCTGCCGGGCCCTGTGTGCCCCCCTGCACACCTGGGTGTCTTTCTGAGGCTGGCAGCATCGGCTGGGGTCAGGGGTCCTGGGCTCCTAGGCTCACACCTCAGCTCAGTTGTGTCCTTGCAGGAGGACACTGGGTATCTGACAAACACAAAGCCTCGACAGCAGGTCTGGAACTTTCAACCCCAGCAGGATGAGGGGGAATGGGGGTGGATGTCAGGTAAGTAATTTCTGGTCCCACTACAAAACTTTATTTTTGATTAGAGTACCATTCTCAATCTCTTCTACAAAAAGCAAAAAAAAAAAAGCAAAAAAAAAAAAAAAAAAGCAGCCACTTCACTCACTTCAAGACCTATATACATGTAAGTTGTTTTCTGTGTTTTTTTTAATTATTTTTAATTTTTATTATTATTTTTAAAATAAATTCAGTGTTCACATTTCTATAAAGAATTAACCCAGTTTCAGGAAACCCTGCCCCAGCAGGGCAGGTAAGCAACACTCTCCCTGCCCACATCTAGTTTGATTTCGCGCCCTGATGCTTCAAGCTGCCCAGAAAAGCGGCAGCTTGTGGAAGAGGAAATCTATGCCTGGCCCGTGCTTGGGGCCCAGGGCTCAGTAAGCTTTCGAGAAAACAGAGGGGAAGACTAGCTTACTGCAAAAACCTTTTTAAAAAATATTCATACACTTCAGTGAGTGCCTGTCGAGACGTTAGGAGAACAAGAGCTTGGAAACATCCCGTCCAGGCCACTGGGAGGCAGCATCTTCCTCACACCCCGTCCCTGGATTTCGGGGGTGCAGGGGGAAGGTCCCGGCTCTTCCACTGGAGAAAGGAGACTCACCTAGCTTCCTAGTTCATGTTTGACTATTTCCTCTAAAACCTGTGCTGAGTCTTTGACTGCATGCACGGGAAGCACAAACGTTCGGCTTGTATGCAAAAAAAGTACAAAAACAACTAGAATATAAAAGTTTTGGTAATATAAGGCCATCTGTTCAAGTCCACCTTGGAAACCTGTAACAGATATTTAAATACTACAGTGAAAAGGCATCTTAATATACTTTTTAAAAACATCTGAAGTAATCCGCTAAGATTAAGTGTGTAAAAAAAAATTCAATTCCCTTTGAGGGCACTTTGTCCTTTGAAGAAGGGAAAGTGGGGCGGGGAGGGCGCGGGGCCCACCGGTTAATGCTTCAGCCATGGGTGGGCTTCAATGGAAGCCTTGCTGCGGTCCCCATAGTCATACAGGGGCTCCTCCCCAGCCGCGATGTCTCGGGAGGCGATGAGGATGAGGTGAGGTACGCCGTCGATGTCGTGCAGTTTGGTTTGGCAGTTCCCACGTTTGCTGTGATTGATCAGTCTTCCTAGGCGATTTGTCTCTCTAGTTGCATCCACGCAGTAGGTTTTGCTCAGATACTGAAAATAGTACATGTAGCAGCCCGTGGAAGGGTCCTGTGCGTACAGAGCCTCCCGTTTCTTGGCGTCGGTGATCTCGATGAGGTCCCCGTGGTATTCCACCACAAAGGCACCCCGGGAGAACTGCTTGGTGGCAATCACACCCCTGCCTTTGCCATCGATGAGGTCAATCTTCATTCCTTCTTCCTTCCCACTTTCAATCAATTCATCTATTCTTTTCCTTTCTTCAGACTGCAGCTCGGCTTTGCTCTTCCTGGAGCTCCTTCGGACAGGGTAGAAATCCGTGTTTGCGATTCTGTTGCGTTTTTCCTTGAGCTTTTTTTCGGGGGTGCTGTTTGCCCTTGATGGGCTTTTTCAGGGCCGGCTTGGCGATGGCTGCATTGGTGGAATCACAAGATGAGGGTGGAGTTTTTGGAGGTTCTGCTGCTTCAGATTTTTGGTTTGGAAAAGGTACCAGGGGACGTCTCCTGGCGTCTTTGATCTTCTGTTCCTCGGACTTCATGGCGCTCCGTACTGCGTTCCCAGCATTTCTTTTCTCTTCTCGTTTCCTGTAGATTCCGGCTAATGGTTTCCCCTGGCATTTGACTTCGTGATGTGTAACTGAGTTATCTTCCTGAAGGGGGAAACGCATTCCAGAGCATTTGTTCGGGCTCATGTAGGAATAGATCTTTGACTGCCCGGTAAATACGTTCTCCCCGTCGGTGCGGGGCCTCCCCGGGCCCCTCCGCTCCACCATCTCCGGGCCCGGGGCCGTCGCTGCCACCGCCGCCGCCGCCGCCTCCACCGCGCAGGGCTTGGACATCTTCCCGCCTGCAGCCCGGCCAGGCCCATGGCAGCGCGCCCTGCGCCCTAGCCGCCGCCGCCGCTGCCCGGCCACCACCGCTGCCGCTGCCGCTGCTGCTGCTGCTGCCGCCGCCACCAGCGCCGCCGCGGCGCCCCCTTCCCCCATGGCCGGCAAGGCAGGGCCCGGCACCCGCGCACCGCGGCAGCCCCGGGCCGCCCGGGGCGAGGCACGCAGGGAGGAAGGCGCAGGCGGCGCGTCCTCAGCAGCCCGCCCGCCCGCTCCACCTAATTATCTTGAAATTCTTTTGTTTCTTAGCCTTTTCCACCCTGCAATGCCTAGCATGGTGCTTTGCATAGAGTAGGTGCTCGCTGAATACTGTACAACTGAAATTATTGAATTGAATGCCCACTGTCTTTACTATTTTCCTGTCAGTCTGTGCTTGCCTTAACCACGGACTCTCTACTTTTAAATCTGCAACTAATTCCTCATTGTTTTCTAAGGATCAAGTGAAGGGCAGCCACTCTGTTTACTTCCTATATTTTTTGTCCTAAGATTTCCCCCAACCCCTTCTGAGAACTTGTTTGATGATCTGTGGCCTGCTATATTGCTTTTCCAGCAGATAACTGGGTAGTTAAAGTCCCCCAGCACCGCCAGATCCTGTCCCAAGGCCACTTGGGTAAGTCGGCTGAAGAACAACAACAATCACATCGGTAATGGTGATAATGCCTTGGATTTTAATGGCGCTTTTTCTCCTAAGAGACCAAAGTGCTTCTGCATATATCATCTCCTTCTCCGCTCCCACCTCTCAAATCCTCGTAGAGGCCAATATGATATCCATCTAATGAATGAAGAAATCAGAGCACCACACAGGAAGTGACAGAGCTGATTGTTCAGTTAGTGGTTGAGCTTGCATTGTATTAGGAAATATTTGCTTCTAACTCCACACCCACCGCCCTGCGCTTAGCCTGTGCTACACCATCAACTTCCTGATTTGAAATTTCATTTGCGAATGTGTACTCAGATTTTTATTAGTTCTGTCCTAGTTTTCACTTAATCCAGAGAGTTTAAAATTGTCAGCTGCCTTTTCTCAGGCCTGGAAATTCTTGTAAATAGTGTTTAGTGGGCAGTGAGGCACCAGGTCTGTAGTTGCCTTTGCCTCAGCTGCTGTAATAAAATAGCATTTCTTCTTGTAGCCCCACATTCTAACTATGTGGGTTTCCAGGCTTGCTCAAGCAACAGAGCACCACCAAACAGTAGCCCTTTCAATAAATGAGCCAGGACTTGCATAAGCGTCCACTGGGATGACAGTAGGGGATGAGAGTGAGGTCCTGCAAGTCATTCTCCTGCTTAAGACAAGTGAAAGAATTTTCTTCCTTGATGCTGCAGTTGCCCTTTTAATCCCTTATTTTGAATTGATAACAGTGGGGATGAGTCTTTAATCTAAAGAGGAATATTGTTGTTATTAATGATGATGAAAAATAATTACCTCATCTAATCCTGTCAATGTCATGCCCTAAGAAGTAGGCACTATTAGTATCTCCATTTTTCACATGAGAAATTGGAGCTTTGGTAGGTTAAGGAAGAACCACAGGATTACAGAGTTAAGAAGTCTCCAAATCCAGCCCCTTAACCATTAGTGCTATAGATGGTGACTGTTCAGGAGCCTGATTATCTCTATGAATCATCCTGGTATGACTCCTGGGGGAGGTCGCCCTCCTGGGAAAATTGCTATTCCCTGCCCCATCCAGACCTTTTATTTTTCACATAAAACAAGCACATCCAGAATGGCTAGCAGGCATCCTCACTATAATAAGAGCTACATTTTGAGGCTCAGTGCTCATCTTTGTTTCTGCTTGTTGAGGAAATAAAGGAGAGAAAAGATTTGATTCAAATGCATTGTTATGTGTATGTGTGTGTTTTCTCTTGGTAATTGGGTGTGCCTCTTAAAATCTGGGATTTGATTTAATTAATTGGTTTAAATTATTGCATGTATTTAATGTGGGTGGTACCCAAAAATTGGAGCCAAATTAGTTACTTTGTGTTCTTTAATACTTACAGACCTTCTGAACTCAATATAGATAATTATACAAAATACTACGTGCATAATTAAAACATATTAGGCTATCTGTGATGTTTATAAAAACAAAGAGTTATGTGGAATAGTAAAATTAATCATGATCATGATGACCAGTTTTTGAAAACCTACTATGTGTTAGGTGAATCTATATGCATCATCTCATTTACTTTTTAATATTTAAAGAATTCTACAATTAAAGGTGGCTCTCTACCTGTCTTACAGAAGAAGAGGCTGAGGCATGTCGAGTTTAAATAATTTGATTGAGTGATTCAGATAGTTAAGCGAGCAGCAGAGGCTAGATGAGACAGGGAAGGGAGTGGAATCCTTATCCCAAACTTTTGATTGGCCAAATGTTTCTAGAAAGAGAGCAAAGGAGCCCCAGGGCTGACTGGACAGGTGGGAGAGTGGTGGATGATGAGCTGCTGGCTTTGTTTTATTCCTGTGTGTTAATGAAAGAATGAAAGCCTGCTCCTCATGCACTGCAAAACCAGACCATCTGTGCTCTATTATTACCCACACTTAAGCACACGTTATCATCCAAATACTTACTGTCAGTTTTTTTTTTTTCGTACTTCCTAAATTGTCCTGAAGGACTCAAATGGCACATTATGGATGTTCAGCTTTTATTTGACTGCTGTAGTATCGAATGGTAGGAAGAGTGAAGTGAAGTAGGATTTTGGAGTTACTCTTCTTGCTGAAAATTCAACTTGAAAAACCCTGAACTGCCGCTGAATAGATTACCCAATAAATTGTTTTATGCCCTAATCATCATGCCACTATGTTGTATTTCTTAGGTTCTTATTCAGGCTCAGGTGTTAGAACCTCGTTATCACAGTTCTCTGCACACAGCAAAGAACATCCTAGATTATCAGATCTAAAACCACAGGGAGCAATGCCCAGAACCAGCCAGGGCTTACATCAGCTAGGGTCAGAGTGTTTTTGACCCTCTGAGGCTCACCGTACCTGAATATGATTCCATTTGCACCCCTCCTCCTGTTTCCTCTGTGGGGAGGGCGCTGTGGAGACCATAAAGCCTCCAGGGTGTTTCTCTCTCCCTCTTCCTAGAGAGCAGCATCTCCGTGGGGGTGGCCAGCAATGCCAGCGTCATCCTTGAGGGCGACGACCTGCGCTTCTCCTGCAGCGTCCGCATGGCAGGCAGGCCGCAGGGTCGCTTCTCTGTCATCTGGCAGCTTGTGGACAGGCAGAACTGCCGCAGCAATATCATGTGGCTAGACCGGGATGGCACCGTGCAGCCAGGCTCGTCCTACTGGGAGCGCAGCAGCTTTGGGAGCGTCCAGATGGAGCAGGTGCAGCCCAACTCATTCAGCCTGGGCATCTTCAACAGCAGGAAGGAGGACGAGGGCCAGTATGAATGCCATGTGACTGAATGGGTGCGGGTGGTGGATGGCGAGTGGCAGATTGTTGGGGAGCGCCGGGCCAGCACTCCCATCTCCATCATAGCTCTTGGTGAGTGAGCGGTGGGACTGGCAGTGGGTCTGGCATGGAGACAGCTTCAGTGTCAAACACCTTATCCTGACTTTTGTCTGTCAGAGTTCTAGCAGGAAACTATGGCCAGTCTTTTACCTATAGAGTTTGAAGTACTTTCCTTTATATCTATTTTGTTTCTTATAAGGGTTTAATTAATTAAGATAGTGCTAGCAGGGACTAAGGGACCCACAGTGGATGATGGGGCTCCTGAGGGATAGCAATAGCTGGCAGCTGTGACTACTCCTAGTCTGGCTGGGAGAGAGTGATGTTATCAGAACTCTATCCAGGTTAGTGAAGCCACCCAGCCATAGTGGTGGCCCCAGGTGGAGGAGCATGGCCACTGCCAGCCTGGCCTTAAAGAGAGCAGAGTGGCTGAGCACTGTGTGGCATGTCTTTCCTGCCCTGCTGTTCAGGGGCCAGCCTTCCTGAAAGAGAGCAGAGAAGGGTATAAAATTATCTGTTGTCATTTATTTAGCATTTACTATGTTCCTGGCTAATCCTTAACACTTAAGCTTAGTTGTCCCATTGAATCCCCACCTAGCCAAGTGACAGACACTTTCATTTTATGGAGGAAACTGAGACTGAGACACATTAAATACTTTGCCTAAGGCTAGAAGTTTCTACTACCTGATGGGGCCCATACCTAACAAAGCTATTCCCTCATTAGCATGGAATGAAAAGATACCTTGAGATTTGCTAAAACCAAGGAAGATTAGATTTGCTTCTCATGGGGTAAAGAGGCTTCTATCAACATTTATCTGCTTGGATATAATCAGTATATTAGATTTTAAACGACCAGTCTGTGACTTTGCTGGGAAAGAAACTTGTTATGTCAGGTCTTCCTGTTTATCAGGAGACATTGGTTGTCCTCAGCAACTTTATGTCCCACTCCCTGGGACTGTGTCACCACCTTCCTTGCAGGTCGGGATGGTGGTGCTTTTGGATACTTCCAGTAAAGATGGCAGCCCCGAGTGGTTTTTGTCCTTAACAGAGTCCTCCATTTTCTTACCCCTCTGAGATTAGAATTACATTTGTTTTCTAAAGCTTAATCCTAAAGATTGACCTGCTTTTTGCAGTAATTATATGGCTCAGATTTCTGTCTTAGAAACTTCCTCCAGTGATTGCGTTTCCTGATCAGCTCAGTTCCTGTGTCCATACTCAGCACCTGTGTGGACCCAGTCAGATGGAACTTGGGGGACAAATTTTGGATGTCCAGTACTGGTGTTTTTTTTTTTTAACCATCCTGGAAGGTTAGGAATGTCCAATGAGTGATTAGAGTTAGTGAGGATTGTTTCTCTAGAAGTAATTTATGGTATCAGGTTATCCCCTGAGTTTTTTCTTACTCACCATATGTCTGGTGGTTCTCACAGCCAGGGGCACTGAGGAGCTCTGCCCTGGGATCTGGAGGCCAGCACTGTTCACCTGATCTCCACCGCTGAGATACCTCTGGCTACAGCCATAATCAGGTGGCCCAAAGGACTGAACAAGGAAGAATGGGAGGGCACTCTAGACTAATTAAGGTTGTCTTTTCAGTCTAAAGTTAACAATGACACACATGAATTTTCATATCAGTATAATTTGATGTGGGTCCCAAATGTACAATGGGCCATTATGGCTGTTCAGTTAGAGCAGCTTGGGTGCTCTGTGACTGTGGCATGTGCCTGTGTCAGGACTAGACAAAGTCATTTGCTTGGGGAAGCTCTCTCCCCTTCAGGTGTGAGGCCAGGAGCACCTGGTGTGGGTCCTGTCCCTGAGGTTCTGTCCTACACCACCCTCATGCAACACCTACTACACACAGGTGCACAGTGACAGTCAGAGGTGCTTCATGTTTAAGGATGGACCTCCGTGTCATAAACTTTTTTAAAAGGTATATAGAGATAGCTCATGAAATCCAAATCAAAGGTCCAGAGTTTTCAGCAAATTGTACCTACCTATTTGCCAACTTAACCTCACCATAGAAAGCCAAAAGATTCATCCTGTGGCCAGTCTTTCACATTACAGAATTTAAAGTACTTTTTTAAAATTTCTATTTCATTTTTTAACAAAATATTTAACAAAATATAGTATATCTCATGTGCCAGGTACTATTTGTAATATTTATAAACACTGATTTATTTAATCTTCACAGAGACTCATTTTACAGATTGGAAAACAGAGGCAGAGAGAAGTTAAGTAACTTTAATGTCACTCAGCTGGGACGTATCAAAGGCTTGGCTGCTGGCTCCAGAGTCTAGACCTTTAACCATTGTGTTATGCTTTCCATGGGTAAAGCAACCTAAAAAGGCCCCTGGAATCAGTTACATGTGGTTGGAGACTAACTCTGTCATTGACTTACCAAATGCTTGATATTGGGCAATTTATCTAACCTCTCTCTGCATCAGTTTCTACGTCTGCAGGAAGAGATGACAAGCCTGCCTGTTCTACAAGGTTGTTTTGGGGATTCAGTGGAGCATGATGAGAGCAAAGCAGTTGGCACCATGCTTGCACCTAGATAGTGCTCAATAAATACTGGCTACTGTTAGCTTTATGATTGTGATCAATGTATGAATATTAAGCAGTATTTCCAGGCTGAAGGAACTCTGAGGTACTCATATTGAGGAGTCAGTATTAGAGCTTAGCAGTGCTGCCCATTCAATAAGGAATATTGAGAGACCCACAGCCGCTGAGACTGCAGAACCCTGCATTTAGGACAATTGTCCCACCCCACTGGAGGTCCCCACCTGCTCTGTTCTTGGATTTCATGAGGGACGTGAGAAAGGGACTGGAGGCCGACTCCATCTGCTTCCCTTCTCAGCACCAGTGCACTAAGGGACCAGGAAAAGAGGTGTTGGGGCTGTGTGGTTGTGTTTTCCTCCTGCGCAATGGAGGAAATTGGCTTTGGGGTTTTCTTTTCCTGTTTTCTCATGGAATCTCAAGATTTCTAGGAGCAACCCTGCCTACATGCAATCAGTCCCTGAGAGGATTGTGATGTCTAATTCCAGGGGAGGAGCAAATGCACGAGGATCTCATTGGGAAGGGTTAGGCTAGCGCTGCTCAGGGGGAATTGTGGTGGGCCTTTCTTTGGAGTCTTGGAAACTCTTGGACTGGGCCTCAGCAGGATACTAAAAGCAACACTAGCCTGAGAGCTCAAAAGGGGCCCCGAGAGCCTCTGCTCCACACTGCTTGCTTTGCCAGCTGCCCCATTGCTGATGTCATACTGCCCTGAGAAAGCCACATGCCTCCTCTGGTTGAATCTCTCTGCTCTCTCTCCAGAAATGGGCTTCGCAGTCACAGCCATCTCCCGGACACCGGGGGTGACCTACAGCGACTCCTTTGACTTGCAGTGTATCATCAAACCCCACTACCCTGCCCAGGTCCCCGTGTCAGTGACATGGCGGTTCCAGCCGGTGGGCACGGTGGAGTTCCATGACTTGGTGACCTTCACCCGGGACGGAGGGGTCCAGTGGGGGGACAGGTCCTCCAGCTTCCGAACCCGAACTGCCACCGAGAAGGCTGAGTCCAGCAACAACGTCCGCCTAATCATCAGCCGAGCCAGTGACACGGAAGCAGGCAAGTACCAGTGTGTGGCAGAGCTGTGGCGGAAGAACTACAACAACACCTGGACGCAACTGGCGGAGAGGACCTCCAACCTGCTGGTGATCAGGGTGCTGCAGCCAGGTGAGTGCTGAGGACCTGTGGGCTATGTGCCCATGCTGCCTGAGCAGACGTGAGGGAAAAAGAAAAGTGTGCATGGAGCCCTCAGCATCACTTCCCCCTTTCCCAGCTCTTCATTTAGAGACATTGCAAATCAATAGGAAGTTTTAAGAATCATGCAGTGGACACTTGTATTTCCTTTCCTTGATAGCCAGTTGTTGTCTGACGGCATTTGTTTTCTTCCTCTGTGTGTATGTTTGTTGTTGTTTTTGAGCCATTGGAGGGAAAGCTGTGGACATTGGGACACTTCCCCCTAAGTACTTCAGCATGTAACTCCTAAGAACCTACCCCTATCACCTACATTTCCCCAGTTGTCCCAATCATGCCCTTTATTTTTCCCTTTCAGATTAGGATCCAACCAGGGATCACACATCACATTTGTTATCCTGTCTCTTTAGACTCCTTTAATCTAGAACAATTCCCTAACCTGTGTGTTTGCATGTGTGTGTGTGTGTGTGTGTGTGTGTGTATGTGTGTGTCTGTAGACATGGACATTTGTGAAATGCACAGGCCAATTGTTTTAAAGAAAGCCCTTTTCTTTACTTAACCTCATCTCCTGTAATCCTCATACAATTATGTGGAAGTGATATCATTGTCTCCTGTTCATAGACAAGGAAATTGTGAGTAAAAAGGGAGGGTAATAGGCACCTATTGAGCATCTTCTTTGCATGAGGTGCTGAAGGTCAGTTATTCTATTAGAATTGCACAACAACCCCAGGAAAGATTTAAGTGACTAGCTTAAGGTCATGTACCTAGTGAATGGTGGAGCCAGGATTTGAACCCCGGTTGTCTCCCACAATGTTGCCTGCACCCAGGCCCTGTCCAGTTGTATGGGCCCTGAATTTGAGCTCCTTTCTCTATGGAGGCTGAGTCTGTCTCAAAGCGGATCATCAGGATGCATTAATTTGGGGAGCATTAGTCAGTGGGGCTTTCTGCAAACACTCTCGCCTTCATCAGGCTCTTCCGCTGACATGCGGGAGGAGTTAAGTACATGCAGCTCTTATGGTTTTCCTCCATCTGTCCTTGTCTCCTGCCAGGTTAGAAGCTGGTGGAGGGTGGAGCCCAGGCGGTAGGCTCCTGTGTTCCTTCCCTCACCCAGCCCGTGCCTCGGCTGGAACAGACACCTGTGCAGGCAAAGGCAAGGGTTTGACTTTGCAAAGATGGCTGGAACGCCTTGCCAAAGGGATTTTTCTGCCCACTAACAGCCATGGTTAGGGCCTGACCTGGTCTGCCCGACTACTTTAGGTGGCCACAGTGTTGTTTTCAGCAACGTGAGGTTAAATAACGGTAACCTTTGGGTTTCTCCTTCACCTCTTCCAACCCCATAGCAGAGTTCTGTTCTGTACCAGATTTGGAACAAGTGAGTTGTATAAATGATGAGACTGTTCCCTTGGCCAACGAGAGCCTAAACTTTGACTGACAAGAGGCTCAGGGAAGAGGCTGTTTTACTTAAGTGGATTTTCAGGTTAGTGGAAGGTTAAGCAGAGACCCCATTTTATGTGAACCCTTGTTGTGGAAAATGTCGAGGTACCCACTTGCCTGCGTTATTGAGTGGGACATTAGGATTGTAATTGCACCTTTTTTGGTCCCCTCTGGCTCTCAAAGTCAGTTTTCTGAGCAGCATTGCCCATCACATGGTTCTGCAGCTGTAGAAGGTAGAGGAGATGCTGACCTCAAGACCTTGTCTGACATTGCCTTTTTGAATCCATCCCTAGTATTTGCCTATTTCTGGTATTACTTGGAATCTAAGACTGGAGTGCCTAAGGGAAGAATACAGAATTAGTTCATTGAAGGTTCTAATTATTTGGATTAATTTATGGTGTTACTAAAGGCAGACAGGGAAAAATATGTATGAAGTACCTCTTGGATGCCAGGTTTGTGCTTAGTGCTTTACTCATGTTTTCTTTTTTAAATTTATCCAACAACCTAATAATGTAGGTGTTTGTATCCCTATTTTGCTAATGAGGAAACCAAGGCTCAAAGTGGTCAGGAATCTTGATGGAGGCAAGCCAGCTGGTTAAGGGGCAAAACTGAGATTTGAACTGAGATTGGAGCCCAGGTATCTCTGACTTCCATAGAGCAAATGTATTCCTTTATACCATAATTGCCTTCTGGGTAAAGTAGCTGGAGGGTTGGGAGACCCCAGATCTGCTCTGAGGTTGTCTTTGTGTCTTGGGTGTCTTGAGTTGGTTTCTGTTGTGTTTTCACTGTAAAATGAGAATGAACAGTGGTTGGCAGAGGAGACTTATGAGTATCACTGTACTTAGGCTGTTATGAGACCGCTACTTAAAGGTGCACAGTAATATACTTTTATGACCCTTTGGAGGCTAGGAAGGGCAAAGGTGGGTGCTTGAGGCCGTGCAGGACTCCCAGAGGGCAGTTGAGGCACCAGGAGAGTGCATCCCCTTAAGTGTTACTGTCTCTCCTCTATTAAATATTTATGCATTTAGCACTTAATATTTTCCAGAGAGCTTCATAAGAGTTTTTACTCTTTCTTATTTACTTTGGTGCTGGTGCATTCATTTTGGGGAAATAGAAGTGGAAAAATACATGAGAGCTGACTGTGCGCTGGAGACTGTTGGACACTTGGTGTATATTATCTCACTTAATCTTCACTGCAACCCTGGGAGGAACATATTGCTTTCCCATTTTATAAATGAAGTAACAGAGGCTCTGAGAGGTTCTCAGTTCCTCAAATTAAACACCTAGTGAGTGGGGGAAGTTGGGATTTGAATCCAGGTGTGCCTCGTTAAAAAGTAATTGCGGTAGGGAGACTTTGACCTTTTTAAAGGCTATGTAATCAGAGATTCTTCTTTCTGCATTCAGTTAATGCTGTCCTTTACAGAAGAATTTTCTCCTTGTAGATTGATGATGTGGAGGAGTTATGGCACTAGTGTTACTGGTAGTAACAACAGTAGCAGCTAATATTCACTGAGCATTTCTTGTAAACCACTGGGAATGCTTTACACATAATAACTTAGTTCCTTGTTTCTTAATCCATGCAGTGCTGTGAGGGGGACCATTTTACCCAACTTCACAGATGAGGACACTGACACAGAAGTTACATAAATTGCCCAGTGTGCCATAGTAAGTGGCAGAGCCAGGATTCAAGTCCAGACAGGCAGTTTGGCTCCAGAGTCCAAGTTCCTAATTTTATTATTATATGTTCTAGACAAGTGTTTTTCTTCTCAGGAATCCTCTTTGGTAACGTATGCTTGTATTTAGTGTTTCCTCTCTCTGGTTAACCACTCCTGATTTCCTAATCCCCTTTAGCAAATCCTTAAATTTGTTTTTTGGAAGTTGGGGTCATAAGACACTGGTAGAGGTTCCTCAAGACACAGTTTGCTGATGGTGTAGAAGTTTTATCTTGTGCCTCTTTTAACTCCTGATTCTTCCAGCTTCTGCCACAAGGTGGCTCTAAGACCTGGGGATACCAGAGCTCAGAACCAGCGCTGTCCTCTCTTCTTTTGCTCTCCCTGCATACCTTGCCCCTCAAAACATAGATTCTTAGCCCTGCTCTGGTGTCTTCCATAGAAGTGTCCCCTGCTACCCCTGTTTTAAAGAATATTGTGTTAAATATTCGTATTCCATCAGAATCAAATAGGAACCCAGGGACTGTTGGCTCACTCATGCTGGTCCATTTACCATCAGCCTTCCACTGCTGTGATATCATTTATCACAGCAAGCTTCTCTGTGGTCTGTGCCCCAGACTCGTCCCTGCTGATCCTGCCCCCATATCAGTATTCATCAGAATCTCTGGTTGGATGGCACAGTTGACTTGTGGATCTGTTATTTGACCATGCCCTGTGTGTGCTTCCTGTTGCGTATGCACATCCCCAACAGAATCTTCAAGGAATGCCATGACTGTCATGTTGCCATTGATCTAGCTTAGTCTGATCCCCATTGATCACATAGTGTGACCCCTCAAGGGGTGCTTAGGCAAGACTTTCAGCCAGTTCACATATTTGATTGTTAGCTCTTAATCAGTTTTCTCTTTTAATTGTAAAGCATAATTGCCTTGCTTCCTTCTGATTTTCTTTAGCTCAAAACGCCCTCCAATTACACATCCCTAAATACAGAAGCAGTAAGGGAAATGTCAGCACTCATTTTCCAAATGTTTACGACAATATCTTGGTTTGGCTATTAAAATTGACAAAGCCATAAACAAGCTTCCATGAGGACAGCCTCCAGTGGTGGAAAGCTGACTTGTCAGAGGGTGTATTCTGCTGGGATTTTACTGATGGGCACTCAGGATGAATATTTAATACCCTCTGGATGTTGCCAAATCAGTTTTCTTCTATTTCTTATTGCTGACCTGGCAGATTGGGATAGCAGAGGGCTTTTCTTTGACTTCCATGAGTCCAGAGCATGTGAACACTGGCTATCCTTTCACATTCTGAGGGATGACTGCCCCATCCCTCAGAGGACTGGCCTCTGCCTTCTTTCAGGGGAGTCCGGGTTCTCCTTCTTCCATCCCAGGTGGCTTCTGCCTGTTGTCTGTGCCAAGATAGAATGGGTGTGAGTGCAAGAGCCCTAAGAGGAGAGCCCAGCCCCTCCCAGATGCCTCAGGCCTGTTGTCATGGTAACACCGGGGCACTTGTTATTGGCATCAACGAGCCAGAGTCACTGCCCTGCCTGCAGACAGGTAAGGCAGGGTAGAGCGCATCTGGGTAACCTTCATTAGCTATTTCCACCTGCAGACTCTTGCTGCTTTCCCCTTGCCCCTCCCTCCCTGTCTCTCTGCATGCATTGAGCACCTACTAAGTGCCAGGTTGCCATGCTGGTGAGGCTGCTGAGATGGGTGTGTCACGTTCCTGCCTTGCGGGCTCTGTGGGAGGCAGCAGGCCTAGGGACAGAGGAGAGCAGAAAAGCATTACAGGTGTGGAGGCAGAGCCAGCACAGGGCATGAACACGGGGCAGGGGGCAGGGGGCGTGAGGAGGGAATGGGGTAGGGGTGAGGGTGGGAGGTTGGGAAGGAGGAGTGGAGCATTTCAGGCTCAGAGAAGAGTGTGAATAAAGATAGTCATGGAGGGTGGGAGCAGCATGCTTATCTTGAGATGACTAAAGCATGGGGTCTGGGAGGGGTTCACCCCCAGGCAAGCTGGCAGGGATCAAGAAGTCCCTTTTGTACATGGGAGCACGGGGTGAGGGTGGGCATATGTAATAGCTAAAAGCAAGGACAGACCAGACAGCCTGGGTTTGAATCCCAGCTCTACCACTAAGCCAGCTGTGTGACCTTGGGCAAGTGTCTTTATAAAATTGGGAATAATATTTATTTCATAGGATTGGTGAGGACCAAATAGTTAATATTTATAAAGTGCTTAGAATAGTGCTGAGCACATAGGACCAGACGAAAGTTTGCTAAATAAATAAGAATATCCTAAACTCAGAAATTAGGACTTTAGCTCATACCCAGATCATATACTCCATTTTTGTAATAATTTATAATATTCCCTTTACCCAGAAATGAAATTCATATACAATATAACATTCCTAATCATATCTTTAAAATTTGCTATACTGTCCTAGTTGTGGGATAAAGAAAGTTGTTTTTTTTTAAAGTAGTTCATGGTAAAATAACGTGTTTCAATGTGTAAATGCTCAGGACAGCTATGCTAGGAGGCACAGTCACAGTCAACGCTGTCCCTAAATGCACACTGACAGTCACCGTATCAGACTTGGCACCATGAGCAGGACTGCCATCCTGACAGGGTTTCTGAAGTCCTGAGTAACTCTTGCTACAATTCTGAACAAAACAAAGGAAAATCCTCTCTTGACTGACCTGGCATGTATTAAAACCATGCAAAATAAAAGTATTGTGATTATAGTAAAATGAAAGTAGGTTCTAGGCTCAGAGGCATAATTTTTGCCCATATGAATGTCATTCGAAAGTCACACAGGACACGAGGCAGAGTTTTGTTGCATGGAGTTGTCCCAGATACGATTTTACATCTTTAATGGCTTTATTCCATTGAATATATACCCCTCCCCAAATCAATATGGCAACCAGAGACCTGCTTGCAATTAGCTGCCTTATTGAGAACTGCTGTCACGGGCTGTGGGGTGGGCAGCCGTGGGCAGTAGCATGCCCCATTTGCCATTTAGGGAAATCCCCTGGCTGTGGCTAGGCCGAGAGGGAGGGAGTGTCATATGCAGGCCAATTATAAGAGGCTGAGAAAGAGATCATTGAGGGCCCAAATAGGGAATGGTCATGTGGAGAGAGCAGGGAGCCAAGGGGTGTTAAGGACAGAGGGACTCAGGGGTAGTAACAGTTTGAGTGGCAGGCGCCTGTGCCACTGGCTTCCCATGCAGCTCACCCTGCATTCTTTCCTTGTCTCTCATCTGACTTGCTTCTCTCCACTTGAAACATCTCTCCTGCCGCAGCCACTGGCCACCTCTATCTCTAGCATTACTGTCTGTTGTCTTTAATAAAGAGCAGTGTCTTCCTCCCTCAGTGCCCATCTCTTTGCACCTGCCACTCTGGCTGCTGCTCACACCACTGCACAGAAACCGCTTTCTCCAGACTTACCGGCAACCACCTCAGCAGCACAGCTGTTGCTTCTCAAACTTGAATGTGCATCAGAATCAATTGGAGGGCTCATGAGCCTGCAGGTTGCTGAGCCTTACTCACAGTTTTTCTGACTTAGCAGGGGCTGGCAAATTCCCAGGTGATACTGATCTGCAGATCCATGGCATGCACCCTGAGGGCCACAGGTGGTCAGGATCAAGTACAAGCTGCAGGCCCCTTGCAGTGTGGCCGAAGCTTACCTTTCTAACCTCATCCACTACACCTGAGCACTTGCTCCTCCTTGAATAGAGTGCACAGGGTAGTTGTTATCTTTCTTCACTTGTCCCCTCTCTCTGGCATGCCCTTTCACTCTCCTTCTCTGCTTGTTTCTCAGGGCCTAGCTCAGAGGCCACATACCTTTTGAAATGTTCTCTTTTCTATCAAAATCAGAATTGCCCCTCCTTTTAAAAAGTAACCACATTTATTCAACCATTCATTGATTAGTTTAACAATGATTGGGTCAGAGTCCCTGCCCTGCATATGCTTAGAATTTTGTAAGAAAGAGAAGACTTTAAAAATTACCTTCGTTGTAAGGCAGCAGTAACAGCTATAGTGGAGCATAAGGGAATCCTTTATTGAAGAAATAAATGAGTTTTGAGTGAGAAGAGCACGCACAGAGTGGAATCTGAAGGGAGGGTAGGCTGGCTGAGAAAGCTGCTGCTGGTCTCCGCTGTGGAGTTCTTCCCTCTTCCTGATGTCTCACCTTGAAACCACCCTATCCTGGCTTGTAACAAATGCAACAGCCTCTCCTACCATACAAAACACAGATCTTCCAAGTTTTAATCACAAGCCTGGGAAGGAAACTCTCCAGCTGCAGAAAGAAAGGGCCACTCCCTCAAAGCAGGGCCTGGTCCCTGGGGGCTGCTGTGAAGGCAGCTGCTGGCGTGAGCTGGAGCAGCTCTCGGACCCTCTTCCTGTCTCTTGCTGGATTCTTTCTTCCTCCTGCCAATTCACTGTTGGGGGTTAACCAAGCCTCACTCTTTTCTTTCACGTCTGCATTTATGGCCTCTCAAAGCCCGTTCACTCACACGGCCAAGTCCGGGGTTTCTCAGGCTTGAAGCTACTTGTGAATCACCTGGGGATCTTGTTAAAGTGCAGATTCTGACTTACTGGGTCTGGGGTGGGGCCTGAGAGTCTGCATTTCTAACAAGCTCCCAGTGCTGCTGGTCCAAGAACAGCACTTTGAGCAGGAAGATTGCCACTTATGCTTGACAACTCCTAATCTAAGTGTTGAACTTTGAACTTGGGACAAGGCACAGAAACCAAAAAGGAATGAGAATAGCTAAAATTCACTGGGTGTTTGTTATATCCCAGGTTCTGTGCTAAACTCTTTTTATAGACAATTGCTTTTAGTCTGCACAAAACTCCTAATGGAGATAGAGACATTGTTCTTATTTTGCAGATGAAAACACCTTTGGTCTCTAAGTGGGCAGGGCTCTCCTAGCTCTGTGGAGGAAGGTGGTGCACGCAAGCTGTACACCGCCCAGGGCAGGGCTCTGGCAGGACATGGGAGGGCTCCCTAATTATATGTGGAGATTCCAGTCTCCCCTGTGCCTCAGGAAAGGTCCTACCTGCCCTGGAGATGTGGGAGGAAATCCAGAGCATAGAATAGGAGCTGACCCCTTGCCCACCTGTCAGACATGCACCAAATTTAAAAAATGTCTCTCTTTCAAGCTTCTCAACACTTCACAATATTTTGACATGGGAAGGAAAAAAAATGGAAATGCTTTGGAACATTTCTCTTCCTTGAATTCTTGTTCTCAGACCACGTGACTGAATAGAATTTTAGTCACAGGATTCCAGTTTAACATATGCAGTTACTATAGCAATTGAGGTTTCCTTAGTAACAGTTGCAAAAATAATCCAGCCCCAATTAATAATACATTTTAAAGCTCTTTCTACTCCATGCTGAACAACCCAGTTTTTTTGGCCAAGAACCAGATAATTCAGGTGGTGTCATTTGCACTGATATAGATATCATTTGCATGCGGTGAATTGGGTTGGAAAGGAATGAAAAGGGAGCCGGTTGTTTCAAGTATTATAGGAATCCAATCTGAAAAGTCGACTGGCAAGCGAATGCAAATCTAGCTTCCAGAGCTTGGGAGCTTAATGGTAAACCCTGTCCTGGATTCCTAGTGTGCCCTAGAGGACTTTCTGCATTTGAAGAAGGGAGAAGGCAGAAGATTGGACTTGCTAACAAAAAAGATGAACCCGGGAGGGTGGGGCCGTGGCACACAGGATTTCTCTCTAAGTGGTGCCTGGTGTGTTCTTGATGGCGTGAGAAGGTCTGTGGGTTTGTGAATTCAACAAGTCTTCCTGGAGAGAATGTCTGATTCACCGCCGGGAGATGCTCCGCAGTGTTGCTCAGTCACGGCATTGGGAATTGGACTTTGCCACACCTTGGCTTACTAAATCCTTCCATCCATTCAGAACATTTGTCTGTGTGTTACAGGGAGACCAAGTGGCAGTCTGTGGCTTTCACAAGTTTTGGTTCTGTGATGCATGGGACTCAATCAACCCTTGATGCTGCCAAACCAAGCTTAAGCCAGCTGGCAGGCCAGGGTCATGACCAGTGGGCTGGGTCCTGGGTCTGGATGCAGTTCCTGGGGTTGAGCTGGACTAAAGAGACAAGAGTCTGACCAGCAGAGTGCTGGAGCCTGGCCAGGCACCCCTGCCCTGCCCCTGCCCCTGCCCTCCACACAAGATCGGTTGGAGGAGGCCTAGGTTGCTGTCCCTGGGTGGAATCTGCACCTTGCCCCTGCTTTCTTTCTCAGCTGGGAAGTGGTTTGGTCCCTGTGGCGGAAAAACTAAGTGTGAAGAGAGTGGTGGAGGTGGAACAATGCTTGTGCTATTAGTTCCCTAAGAGGAACTTAGAATTGTTTTTTTTTTTTTTTTCATTTTTAGTAGCAGGAGAGGCGTGGGTGGGGGAATGCAGAGCCAAGGTTAATGATGATGGGGTGGGTGAGATCTCAAATCACCTTCCTAACATGGATTTCATTAGACCTTGGCTTCTTGCCACTGGCAAGGTGAACATCATCATTAATTAGCTGCTGGGGAGGCGCTCCACAGGCTGCCCTCTTGTCTGTTTTTGGAGCGGGACAGTGAGGAGAAGGGAGGATTGCAGTTGGCTTTGCCTTGTCCCGTGGTTTACTGTCTTCTCAGCCTTCTCTCTCACTCCCCTAGAGGAAGCCCCCCCTCCCCACCCCCGCAGCATCCTCTAATTACCTGTTGCCGTGTTTCTCCAACGTGCTCTCATTCGCTCACCCACTCATTCACCTATTTCAGCAAACACTGATCAAATGCTTTCCTGGCCCAGGTGTTGTGCTAGGCTCTGGGGGTGCAGCGATAAGAATGTCCGCTAGGCCGTCCGCCCCATGAGGGCTGGGACTCTGGCTTACTCTTCAGGGCATCCCCAGCACTTAGCATCCTGTGGGAAACTGAGTGGGCACTCCGTAAATACTGGTTGATTGAGTGGAAAGAGCTTGATCCCTGCCCTGGGGGAGCTCACCATCTAGGATATGGGAGAGAGATGTGAAGACACACAGCCCAGAGATATATAGAGGGTGCTGAGGAAGGGTATGGAGCCCAGGGGGATGGGAATGAGGAATAAGTGGAGAGAAGGGTGAGGGTGGGAGGTGGCAGAAGGAGACAGGCAGAGAGGACAGCAAGGGCAAAGGCCAGCACTCAGGGAAACTGCACCAGGGGCGTGCGCCTGTGGAGGGTGCCTGAGGGTGAGTCGTGAGAGATGAGTCAGGACACTTGGGTGCAGGCCAGATCCTGAAGGGACTTTGTGCTGTGAAAAGGAATTGTTTCTCTCTAGCCCGTAGGTAGTTCAGAGCCATTAAACTTTTCAAGCAGAGACCTGATATAGCTAGATTTGTATTTCAGCAGGATCACCCTCAGAGGCCCTGTGATGGTGGGCTGTGCAGGCAGTGGATAGGGGAGAGATGGTGAAGGCCTAAGCCAGGCACATGGCAAGGAGGAGACAGGGAAGGATGTTTAGCGGTGGCCTGGGCTCCGTGCTGCCTTCCTCACACTGAAGCCAGTCGGTGTTAAATCCCCCAGGAACTGTGCTGGAGGAAAACTGACTCAGAGCCTCGAGGTGGATGGGCCACGTTTCTGGGAGTCTGTGGTGATTCCTGTGTTCCCCTTTCCTTTGCAGTGACAAAGCTGCAGGTGAGCAAATCGAAGAGGACCCTCACCCTGGTGGAAAACAAGCCCATTCAGCTGAACTGCTCAGTCAAGTCTCAGACCAGCCAGAACTCCCACTTTGCGGTGCTCTGGTACGTCCACAAGCCCTCAGATGCCAACGGCAAGCTTATCCTGAAGACCACCCACAACTCCGCCTTCGAATACGGTACTTACGTGGAGGAGGAGGGCCTGAGAGCCAGGCTCCAGTTTGAGAGGCATGTGTCGGGGGACCTGTTCAGCCTCACCGTCCAGAGAGCCGAGGTCAGCGACAGCGGCAGCTACTACTGCCACATGGAGTAGTGGCTGCTGAGCCCCAACTACGCCTGGTACAAGCTGGCAGAGGAGGTTTCTGGGCGCACAGAAGTCACTGTGAAACAGCCAGGTAAGGCCGCAGGGCACGGCTGTCCTGGGCCAGTGGGTTTAGTGCAGAGACTGCCTGGGGGTGGGTGGGGCTCTGTGGGGCTGGTGTGGAGAGACTGTCTGCAAGGTGCATGCTGAGTGTGGGTGCAGGTACACAGACCATCACCCTAGCACACTGCAATCCCATCCATTTTACCTGCAGTGGGTCCTGCTGCTGATGGCAGACTCATGGAAGCATCCTTGACTCTGCTTCTGTGGATAGCATCTTCACCAAGGAGCAGGGCAGCTGTGGTTAGCAAAATGTGGCAAGGCAGGGTTCATGGCAGCTCCTGAATCTTCTTCTGGGTTTGCAGTTTGCACCCTGAATCTTGGGCTTACACCAGCTCCACACCCAGAGTTCCTACCTAGAAGGCATTTTCTGGTCTTATGCATCTGCATCCCCCTTCTTTCTTAGCTCCCAGCCCAGCCCAGACAAGACTTTCCTGTCTCCAAACTGAATCATTCCTCCTCTGGCCCTTCCTCGACCCCGTGGTGTAGCCCTTATTCCTCTCCCTCACAGGTGGCACTCAACCTCTGCCAGAATGCTTCCAGGGAGGGAGAGCTACTCACTCCACAAGCCTCAGTTCCACTTTTGGGCAGCTCTGATTGTTGAAAAGTTCACTTTCCTGTAATTTCCCTTTTGAGATCTGCCCATGGAAAAACCAAAGAGAAGTCTGCGTCATTTCCTTTCAAATACATGAAATGTATGCCCCTTCTCTGTTAAAGATCTCTAGTTCTTTCAACTTCTCACATAGTGTAGCCTTAAGGGCCTCTCCATCCCTCATTCTCACATCCCTACAATTTGTTGTTGTCTCTGCCTGTCCTTCCTGATGGGCCATGGAGGGTGCTGTGTTGCCACTCTTAGCCTTGCTAAGAGTGACAATTCTGGCAGGCTGCAGACCATGTGTGGACCTTGATCTGAGGGCTTAGAGGCTTCGGCCTGCCAGCCCTGTGGGGGCACCCACCCCATCTCTTCTCATTGAATGGGGCAGAGCAGGTGAGGGCATGATGGACAGATGGGCCTCATCCCCCTGCTTCCGTTGCCTGGGGTCCTCGGTCAGCCTGTCTGCTCAGACCCCTGAAACTGGGGGTTGAGGAAGGACCCTCCTGGATCATGTGACTCTGTTCAGTCCAGGTGAGCAGGGTCCTTGGAGTGACATCTCCTAGAGCCCAGCCTATAGCCCTGAAAGTTGGGGAGAGGACCTGTTAGGAGAAGCATCCCCTGCCCTGGGGTTGTAGAGGTGATCTAGGCTCCTCAGACCTTGTGGGGCCTCAGATGCTTACATCTCCAGCTCCTCCTGGCATGGGCATCTGGCTGCAGCCCAGCTCTGTGGCCCCATCTCCCAGGGAACCTTTGGTGTAATCTGCCTCCCGCTGAAACCCAGCCTCATTCAGCCCCACCGAGGCTTTCAGAGTTCAGGTCTCTCATTCAGGGTTTGAGACCCCACCGGGCTCAGAGAGACCTGCAGCCTGCAGCGGTCCCAGATCACACAGCCCCAGGGATGGGACCAGGAGCCAGCCCACATCCCACCTGCAGCAGTTCCTGTGCCTTTAAAGCCTCCCCTCCCCCCGCCCCACCCCCAGGCCACTGGGGGAGGGAAGGAGGAGCTGGGTCACAGCAGGGAATCTTAGCTTGGTTTTGGTGTGCTGCTGGACGACCAGACCGGGCGTCGGGTGAGCCCAGAAGTGAGAGCAGTTGGCTGCGCCCCAGTGCTGTGTGACCCAGAGGCGCCACACACCCTCTCTGAGCTGGTGGACATCATAGGTGGGGAAGCTCAGGTCAGGGCACTCCCATGAGTGTCTGGAGGCCTGAGTTCCATTCTCAGCTCTGCCATATGCTTGCTGCGCTCTAGAGGAGTTCCTCTTCCTCTCCGAGCCTCGGTTTATGTACCCGTGCAGTGGGAGTGAGTTGCACTTCGGGGTGAAGGGGGCAAGACTTGTGTGGGCGCATCCTGCAGAGGGATCCCACAGAAGGGGAGAGCCCTGGGTTCTTTATCTGACTGGGTCTGGGCTGGGGGGGCCTCTGTTTCTTGGCTGACGAGTTTATGTGAGTTTGAGTGAGGTATGCGGGTGGGTGAAGGAGGGCTGGGGGGAGTCACCTGACTTGTGCGAAGAAGCTCTTGAGAGAGCCGTGGCTTCTTGGAATTAAGAGGAAAGAGTGAAGCATGAACAAACAGGCCCTGGAGGATCTGGCAGCCCTGAGTGGGGGTGGGGGGTCAGCTCTGGAGTAGAGCCAGAGCTGTGATGGGGTTGGGGGACCCTGTGTCCTTGGGCCATGCTTGCCTCGCTCCTGGGTTCTGTTTGTGGCTGTGGATTGGGGTAGGGCAGGGCCGGTTGTGCGAGGGGTCATTGCCCAACTCCAGGGGGCACCTGCCACCTCTCAGCTATATATATAGGGATATATATAGTTCTTTCGACAGGTTTCCAGCAGGTTGTGGTTATTAAATCTTACTGAAGGGGTGTTTTTTCTGATTCTCAACTCTGTGCCGCAAGGGTGGAAACTGTGAGAGACAGATTCCAACTCCACTTCTGGGTAGTAAGCATCCAGTCCAGGGGTGTAGACGGTCTTGGGGAAGCTGCCAGAGATCTGTACATTCTCATATCCAGGGATAGCGACTTCAGGCTGGGGGCTGGCAGGGTAAGGGGTGGGTGGGTCCCAGGCTCACCCACAGGTCTGCAGACTTCCTGGGGCCAGCTGACCTCGGTAAATCCCTTTTGTCTAAGCTTCAGTTTCCTGCCTGTGAATGGGGTTGGGGCTGTGCTCTGGTTTCACCCTTGTGGCTCTGGGGTTGTGGTGACAAAGCCATCAAGCTGGGTTGAAGGATTAACCAGGAAACCTCAGACTGGCTGCCGTGTCTACCTCTTCCTCCTACTCCTCTCTCTGCTACATCCTGGGAAGCTGCTCTGCTCAGCCTAGATGAGGCTCAGTTGTGTGTGTGTGCACGTGCTTGCACGTGTGTTGGAAGTGGGTGGTATTGACGCCAGAGTCAGTGTCTCCGGGTGAGTGAGGCTTGCACATTTCTCGGGACAGGGAACTCACTACCTTATGTGCCCAGGACAAGAGCTGTGGGGTCTGGAGAAGACTTCTAGGCCAGCCCCTGCAGTCTTTCCTCAGGTGACATGGCTTCCCCAGACCCACTTCCCCCTAGGTGCCCTCTCTGCATTCAGGGGGTAGAGGGCTGACTGGGACAGAATGTGACACACTCAGCAAGTGAGGAAAAGCCTCCTTCATTCTGTAGGCCCTACCTCTATTAACATGTCCTTTGATAAAGTGCCTCCCCTCCTGTCTCCCCTCTCTGGAATCCTCAGCTGCTGCCAGGCTTCAGCTGTGCCCCATGGAAGGCAGCTCTGTCTCCCTACTTTCCCCAGCCCAGGGTTTTCCTTTTGGGGTCAGCTGCAGGGATCTGGGCCATCCTTTACCCACTCAGACTTTCTTCCTGCCCACCTGCTGCTGTGAATCCTGTATGTCATATATATATATATATATAATATATTATATAATTATTATATTTATGTAATTTATATAATATAATATATTATAAATATATATAGTATTATATATAAAATTATACTTTAAGTTCCAGGGTACATGTGCACAACGTACAGGTTTGTTACATATGTATACATGTGCCATGTTGGTGTGCTGCACCCATTAACTTGTCATTTACATTAGGTATATCTCCTAATGCTATCCCTCCCCCCTCCCCTCACCCCACCACAGGCCCCAGTGTGTGATGTTCCCCTTCCTGTGTCCAAGTGTTCTCATTGTTCAATTCCAACCTATGAGTGAGAACATGCATGTCTTATAGGCTCTCAGGCAGAGAGGAAACTGCTGAGCAGGGCAGGGGACAGAGCCCTATGGCTCTCCACTTTAGACCCCTCCCGGCTGACTGCCATGGAATTCAGCCACTTAGCAGGGCCAAATCCCCTGATGTTCCTGTTGGCTGTCTAGCCTTCAGGGACAGGTCATGGGGCCTTGGTTCCTGCCCTGTCATCTTCCTAGTCACCCTGATCTTCAGGGGGAGGAATAGCCTGAGAAAGGGCTTGGTCATAGCACCTCCACCCTAGGGCTATTGAGGATCTCACAGTTGTGTGTCTGGTGGGTTCTGTCCAGAGCCCATTTGAGAGCAGTGGATGACAGGACAGGCCTATGTGACCCAGGCAGGCAGCAATATTGGGTCAGCCTTCATGTCCCCTTCTGTCAGCTTGGGGCAGCTTGGAAGGATGATTGTGGGGTAGGTGTTATGGGCACGGAATAGACCTCAGGTGGAGGCTGCAGGGGCTCTCCGGCACTGTAGACCAGGATCAGGGGAGGGAGCCATGACTCAGGGAGACTCTGGCCCATATCCTTGGCAGATGAGGGCCACAGGGGAATGGGCAGCACTGTCCAAAGTCCCCTGGGCTGGGTCCGCAGCTGTTCCTGGCTCAGACTTCTTGGTGGGCTGGTCAGAAACATGCAGTAACTTGGGGCAGTTACCAGGTGGCCAAGTCTGCACTGCTGGGCTCTGTGAGCTTGGGCCAGCTCAGGCCCTCTCTGGGCCCTGCCTTTCTGGGCTGTTCAGGTGGTTCCTTGGGCCTGGGGTGCTAATGTTTCTGGATGGGCAGCAGAACCAGTCTGCACTCAGGGCCCCAGGCCATGTTCCTGGAACACACCTTTAGCATTGACAGCAGCGTGTGGTGAGGCCCCTTAGTCTGGGTTCTGGTCTAGTGCCAGGGGCACCACTACTCCACCGCCTCCAGAGCCATCTCTGGGACACTGGCTGTGAGTTCAGATGTTCTGAACAGGGACAGGGAGAGCCAGAGGGACCCAGCCTGGGGCTCTCTGGAGGGGCTCGTGGGCAGACAGTGCCCTTTGGAGGGAACTGAGTCTGAAAGGAAGGAAACCCTTTCCCCGGCTCATAGCACCTGCCATCCAGGGCCCTGCCAGGGCTGCGTGAACTTTAGTCATGCGATGACAGGCCGAGTCACCGTGCCAAGTCACTGTGCGCCTCCTTGCTGCTGTGACGTCAGCTTCCCCATCCTCCCAGCCAGGCTGGATCTCTGTGAGAGGCCTGCCTGTCCTGCACCCTGTGCGGATGCCTCCCACTGTCCACCAGGGCTGCTGGGCACCCCCTGGCTGGTCTCTTGGACTAGGTAAGCTCATGGGTCCTCCGGCCGCTCCTGCTCTTTCCCTGCCTCTGCTCCTCCTCGGAGGTGGCCACCCCCAGATCCCAGTCCCAATTTGGAGGCCCCCTGAGGAGTGCTGCAGGGGGCCGCAGGCGTGGCTCTGAGCCACTCTGGAGAGTGGGGGTGCCCAGCCAGTTCTGTGGCTGGGACTTTCCCAGGCAGACAAGTCTGTCTCTTCCTCCCCAGCAGGTGCAGCCCAGAACTGTCTTCTGAGGAAGAGGTGCTCTCCTGGGCCCCCACTGTCCCCAGGCCTCAGGTAAGCCCATCAGGGTCACAAGGAAGGGGGTCTGGGTTTGAGGCCAACCATGGCAGCTGACCTACTTTCTAGCCTCAGTTTCCCCTAGTGTGTGCAGCTCTCACACTGTTTGGGTGAGAACCAGGCCTCTGGGCTTGGACATTCTTTCAGTGAGTTTTGAGGGTGGAGGGATGGGAAATGGAAGCCCAGGACCTCAGCAGGGTGTCTTCCTCCGAGCCGTGGACATCTGCCTGTGGGAGGCTGGGCCCACCCTCCCTTGCTGACCTGCTCTGGGAGGAAGGGACAGGGCCCAGCACTGCCTACTCCCCTCCCTGTTCTTCCCAGCAGTCTGAGCCTGGCTGGGTGCCCCCTGCTCCTCCAGGTGCCTACTTGGGCCTTTGGGTAGAGAGATTAACAGACGGGGGAGGCTGGGTCATGGTTGGACCACCCCAGGATCCTGACTGGGGGCTCAGCTCATGACCCTGAGCCTGGGAGAGATGAGGCCATGCCCTCCAGGGCACTCAGCATGACCCGGCCCAGTGGACGGGACTGGATAGCTTCCTTGGTGCAGGGGGCTGTCATGCTAGGACAGGGTCACTGACCAGGCCAGGCCCCTGCCCCATGACTTGTGGTGGAAATGTCCTTTTGTTTTTGTTTTTTGCTTTTTTTTTTGAGACGGAGTTTCCCTCTTGTTGCCCAGGCTGGAGTGCAGTGGTGCAATCTTGCCTCACTGCAACCTCCACCTCCCGGGTTCAAGCAATTCTCCTGACTCAGCTCCTGAGTAGCTGGGATTACAGGCACCTGCCACCATGCCAGGCTAATTTTTTGTATTTTTAGTGGAGATGGGGGTTTCACCATGTTGTCCAGGCTGGTCTCCAACTCTTCACCTCAGGTGATCCACCTGCCTCTACCTCCCAAAGTGCTGGGATTATAGGCGTGAGCCACTGCACCCGGCCATGTGATGGGAATGTTCTGTGTCCATAATAGATGCTGCATATTGCTGGCCCAGCTCCTGAGGCTCTTTGGACCTCCAGGAATCGGTGTCTCTATCAGGAACCCTTAACCCTGACCCGGACTCCCGGCTGGGACCCAGGGTGTTGGAGTGGCAGGAGCGCTGTCAGGCTTGGTGAAGGGTGTGAGCTGTCCAACGGGGCAAGGAGGAGGCAGGGCCTGTTCTGTAGTTGGACAGACAGAGCCCTCTAGCTGCTTTCTGGAAGACTGAAGGGCAGGTGATGTTGGAGGGAGGGAGTGCAGGCAGGGGCTGTGAGGGAGTTCAGATCAGAAACAGGTGGCGCCTGGATTCAGGCTGTGGTGGTCACGGTGGGGATGAGGGGCTGCTTTGGATTGTGCTGGGGATGTGCGGTGGTGCGCTGCTGTGTGGCTACTGCCAGGTCTCTCTGCTCTTGGTGTCTGCATCCAGGGCTGGGAGGGGGTCAAATGTATCACACTATCAGCCCCAGGCCCACCAAGCCTGGGGAGGTGGCCACCCTTCCACGATGGCATTTGGATGTTCCCTGTGTGTGGGGAGGGCACAGGGACTCCATTCGTAGACCACCTCTGGGACAGTGTGTCTGCCTCTGAGGTCAGACGCTCTGCACTGGGACAGGGTGGAGTGGAGGGAAACCCAGCTTGGGGCTCATTGGAGGGGCTTGCTGGCAGACACCGCCCTTTGTGGGAAACTGACTGTGGGAGAGGGGAACCCCAACCTCTGTCACCACATCCCTCTTCCCTGTTGTCACACCTGTCACTTGCTGCCATAGCCATGAGACTTCCCAAGGGTCACTGCTGCCACTCACTGCACAGCCTGGAAGGGAGTCCACAGGGGACATAGAGTGAGCAAGAGACCTGTGCCACTCAGGCCTCCTGGGGGTGTCCCCAGTGCAGCCATGATGATAATCACAGCTACCATTCACCAAGTCCTGCCCACAGTCTAACCTACTCTATTCACAACACTCCCAGCAGCAAGGCAAGTGAGGTGCTGCCATCTTCCAGGCTGGACAGTTCAGTGATTTGCCTGAGGCCCCACAGCAGGTGAGTGGCAAGTCCAGCATCAGAGCAGGGAAGGCTGGCGGTGCCCCTTGAGCCCCCTTTGCCATGCTTACCACATGCACATCCTGGGCTTCTGCAGGAATGCCCTGTCCCCTACCTGCCCTGCTCCGTGCAAAACCCTCTTTGAGCTGTGCCTGGGAGAAATGCTGAGAGAATTCATGGAAACAAATGTGTTACTGACAGCCTCTTTGCCTCCAGAGTTCAACTGGAGACAGAGAAACCAGCTAGAGGCAGAGGGAGGTAACCCGGAGTCCCCCAGAAAGGTCTGGGCTGTGCGTGCTTCAGGTAACCTCCCTTGACCTTCAGGAGAACGAGAAGGCTGCCTGATCAGAGAGTCTCTGAAGAAGATTCTGTGGCTACAGGCTTCAGCAGAGTGTGAGGGAGACCCCAGTTATTTCCTCAGCTGTTTCCACCAAATCCTCCTGTCTTTCGTGGCCAACACCCCAGGCAAGGCTTGGGGCCCCCGTCTGCTGCTGGACGGTAAGTCCTGGCCCCGTGGCAGTGAATCTGTGGGGCACTCTGATTGTGGGCACTATGGAAGCTAAACCCCATGCTCCAGGTGGGGTGGAGGGTCTTCAGAGGACTCCTGGACAGTGCCAGGCTCTAGGCTGGGGTGGGGGACACAGGAGAAACCAGGCCAGGCCCATCCCTGCTGGAGCTTCTCCCTAAGCAGTGGAGGCTCAGCCACTGTGAGGAGGTAGGCCAGGCCCTGCAGAAAGAGGGGTGTGGAAATCTGGGGGCTCCCAGGAAGGGCCACTGCTGGAGATGGGGTTCTTACCAGGATGGGCTCTGAAGACAAGCAGGGAGGATTTGGGAGGGTAGAGATGAGGCCCAGAGCTTCTGGCAGAGGGCATGGCCTGCACAAAGGTCTGGGGGCCGGACAGCCTGTACGTATTCTGGGAAGCAGGAAGGAGACACAGGCCTTGTGTTTCTGAGGCCCGACTTTAGACTGTGCCCTGTTGGGGAGGGGCCAGGGAATGTCTGAGGCTGGGCCTGACCCTGCTCCTTACCCCGTGGGAGCAGCAGAGCCATGAAGAAGAAGTTAGTGGTGCTGGGCCTGCTGGCCGTGGTCCTGGTGCTGGTCATTGTCAATCTCTGTCTCTGGCTGCCCTCAGCCTCCAAGGAACCTGACAACCATGTGTACACCAGGGCTGCCGTGGCTGCAGATGCCAAGCAGTGCTCGGAGATTGGGAGGTGAGCGGGGCAGGGCATGGGACATGGGCCCTGAAAACTGGGCAAGTGGACCTGAGCAATACGTTCACCCCTCTGAGACTCAGTTTCCCCACATGTAAGCTTCGCTTGGACTCCCTCAGTAGCCTTTGGGAAGGGGACGGTGACTCCGAGAGCAGGGTGTGGGTCTCTAGAGCCAAACAGGCCCCTTTTCTCAGTTCTAAGAGTCTCTGTCTCTTTGGATAAACTCCACTGTTTTGTTGTTTGGTTGCTATTTTTACTTATTTCTTCCTATCTATCTATCTATCTATCTATCTATCTATCTATCTATCTATCTATCTATTTAGAGATGGAGTTTTGCTCTGTTGCCAGGCTGGAGTGCAGTGATGCAATCTCAGTTAACTGCAACCTCCGCCTCCCAAGTTCAAGCGATTCTCATGCCTAAGCCTCCCAAGTAGCTGGGATTACAGGTGTGTGCCACCACGCCCAACAAATTTGTGTGTGTGTGTGTGTGTGTGTGTGTGTGTTTGTTTCCGAGACAGAGTATTGCTCTGTTACCCAGGCTGGAGGGCAGTGGTGCAATCTTGGCTTACTGCAGCCTCCCCCTCCCAGGTTTAAGTGATTCTCCTGCCTCAGCCTCCACAGTAGCTGAGACTACAGGCATGTGCCACCATGCCTAGCTAATTTTTGTATCTTTAGTAGAGACAGGGTTTTGCTATGTTGGCCAGGCTGGTCTTGAACTCCTGACCTTGTGATCCTCCCACCTCTGCCTCTCAAAGTGCTGGGATTACAGGTGTGAGCCACTGTGCCTGGCCTAATTATGGTGTTTTTAGTAGAGATGGGGTTTCACCATGTTGGTCAGGCTGGTCTCGAACTCCTGACCTCAGGTAATCCACCCACCTGGGCCTCCCAAAGTGTTGGGATTACAGGTGTGAGCCACCATGCCCGGCTTATTCTTTTCTTTTTATTTTTTGGTTAGGAGACAATTTCTTTCTTTCTTTTTTTTATTTTATTTTATTATTATTATACTTTAAGTTTTAGGGTACATGTGCACAATGTGCAGGTTTGTTACATATGTACACATGTGCCATGTTGGTGTGCTGCACCCACCAACTCGTCATTTAGCATTAGGTATATCTCCCAATGCCATCCCTCCCCCCTCCCCCGAAGGAACGCTGTTGCCCAAACAGGGACATGAAGGGCTTATTCTTTTTTTAAGGTGGAGTGTTACTCTGTCACCCAGGCTGGAGTATAGGGGAGCGATCATAGCCCACTGCAGCCTCAAACTCTTGGATTTAAGTGATCCTCCCGCCTCAGCTTCCTAAAGTGCTGGGATTACAGGTGTGAGCCATGGTGCCTGGCTTCTACTGTTTTATTCTATTTTGGGCTCTTATCTCATGTTATATATAAAGATCAGTTCCCTTCTAAAGACTTAAACAGAAAAAATATTATGTTTTTCATATTTTGAGACAGGGTCTTGTTCTGTCACCCAGGCTGGAGTGCAGTGGCATGATCATAGCTCACTGCAGCCTTGAACTCTTGGGCTCAAGCGATCCTCCCACCTCAGCCCCCTGAGTAGCTAGGACTACAGGCGTGCATCACACCTGACTAATTTAAAAAGACTGTTTTGTAGAGACGGTCTCACTCTATTGCCCAGGCTGGTCTTGAACTCCTGGCCTCAAGTGATCCTCCACCTTGGCCTCCCAAAGTGCTGAGATTACAGGTGTAAGCCACCATCTCTAGCAGGGAAAAAAAAATGTTATTAATAAAGTATAGCAATTTCCCTTTTTGTCCCAATTATAAAAGTCATGTACATTTGTTTGCTTGATAAAGAGGAAACTGTCTGGGCAAGGTGGTCCACACCTGTAATCCCAGCACTTTGGGGGGTTGAGGCGGGCAGACCACCCGAGGTCAGGAGTTTGAGACTAGCCTGGCCAACATGGTGCACTCTGTCCCTACTAAAAATATAAAAAGTTAGCGGGGCATGGTGGTGTGCGCCTGTAATCCCAGCTACTCAGGGGCTGAGGCAGGAGAATCGCTTGAACCCAGGAGGCAGAGGTTGCAGTGAGCTAAGATCATGCCACTGCACTCCAGCCTGGGCAACTGAGTGAAACTCTGTCTCAGAAAAAAAAAAAAAGAAAGAAAAGAAAAAGAAGAAACTGTAATCCCAGCACTTTGGGAGGTTGAGGCGATAGGATTGCTTTAGACCATGAGTTCGAGACCAGCCTGGGCAACATAGAAAGACCCTATCTCTACAAAAAAGACAAAAAATTGCCCAGTGTGGTGGTTCTTACCTGTAGTCCCAGCTACTCAGGAGACTGAAGTGGGAGCATTGCTTGAGCCCAGGAGGTCAAAGCTGCATTGAGCCAAGACTGTGCCACTGTACTTCATCCTGGGTGACAAAGTGAGACCCTGTCTCATAAAACAAAGGCTGGGCACAGTGGCTCATGCCTGTAATACCAGCACTTTGGGAGGCCAAGGTGGGTGGATTACTTGAGCACAGGAGTTCTTGACCAGCCTGGGCAACATGATGAAACCCCATCTCTACAAAATACACAAACAAACAAAATTGGCTGGGCATGGTGGCATGTGGCCACAGTCCCAGCTACTTGGGAGGCTGAGATGGGAGGGTCAATTGAGCCCAGGAGACTGAGGCTGCAGTGATCTGAGATCACACCACTGCACTCCAGCCTGAGCAACAAAGAGAGACTTTGTCTCAAAAAAAAAAAAATAAAAGAGGCCAAGGCAGGCAGATCATGAGGTCAAGAGATAGAGATCATCCTGGCCAACATGGTGAAACCCCGTCTCTACTAAAAATACAAAAATTAGCTGGGCGTGGTGGCATGCACCTGTAGTCCCAGCTACTCAGGAGGCTGAGGCAGGAGAATGGCTTGAACCCGAGAGGCAGAGGTTGCAGTGAGCTGAGATCGTGCCACTACACTCCAGCCTGGCAATAGAGCAAGACTCCATCTCAAAACAAAAAAGAAAGAAACTAAAAACAAAAACCCCAAAACTCGAATGGACTTCTCTTCCATCCTCCTTTGGGCAGGTAGGCAGCAGGGTATGTATGCGGTGCCAGGGTGGAAGCCTGCAGGTTCTCGTGCCTTTATGTGCCACATGGCAGGGACACACTGCGGGATGGTGGCTCTGCGGTGGATGCAGCCATTGCAGCCCTGTTGTGTGTGGGGCTCATGAATGCCCACAGCATGAGCATCGGGGGTGGCCTCTTCCTCACCATCTACAACAGCACCTCTCATGAATGCCTCGGAAGAGGAGAGGGAGAGGGGCAGGGGTTGTGGGTTGGGCCGAGGCACAGCTGGGTGGCCCCCAGGCTCACGTGGCATAAAGGGTTTGGGTGGGTGGGCCTGCCTACCTGCTTCTCCTTCTAGGAAAAGCTGAGGTCATCAATGCCCGCGAGGTGGCCCCCAGGCTGGCCTTTGCCAGCATGTTCAACAGCTTGGAGCAGTCCCAGAAGGGTAAGCCATGCTGCAGACTTGGGGCATGGGTGCAGAGCTGGCTGAGCCACCGGGAAGGGGCCTTGCCCACAGGAGCCTGCTCCCGTCAGGGTTCAGGGGCAGTTCTAGCACCCCCCATCCCTTCCTGGCCCCATAGCACCCTCCCACAATGAGTGGTCAGGACCATCATCACCACGGTAAAGGGCCGGGAGCTTCTGTTATTTCTGCTAAGGCCTCCGGGGCCATTCTGTGCAGCACATGGAAAGAATAATTATTATGCTAGCAGACCTCATGGACCAGGGCTCACTGGGGCCCACGCTCTGCTCTGTGCTTTTCACCCACGAGCTTCTCACAACCCTCCCTGCTCCTTTGGGCTAGGGGATGCTGTGTGGATTCCCATTTTACAGGGTGGGGATGCTGAGGCTCAGACAGGTCATGCAAATCAGCTGAGGTCACACAGCTGGGAGGTGGTGAAGCTAAAATTGATCCCAGGCTGTCTATATCCTGCCTTTTCAACAGGCATCCCATTCACTCATTTGTTCATTTGTGGGGATGGCGCTCTAGAATGTGAGGTGGAGTCTCTCTTTTCTAATCTGGTCTTAAGTGGAGAGGAGGCCCCCAAATTCCCCAGGTACCTGAAGGGAAGCCACTGTCCATCCAGGAAGCCACTGTCTGACCCCAAAGGAGGCACAATAGATTGTGAGATAAAAGTTGGAGGATGGGAGGGTCTCAACAACTCAACACCTCTAATCCTAGCACTTTAGGAGGCCAAGTCAGGAGGAGTGCATGAGCCCAGGAGACCTGCCTGGACAACATAGCAAGACTCCATCTCTACAAAAAAATGGAAAAAAAAATTAGCTAGGTATGGCGGTGTGTGCTTATGGTCCCAGCTACTTGGGAGGCTAAGGTGGGAGGATCACTTGAGCCCAGGAGGTTGAGGCTGCAGTGAGCCATGATTATACCACTACACTCTAGCTTGGGCAACAAAGTGAGACCCTGTCAAAAAAAAAAAAAAAAGGTTGGGCCTTTTTTTCACAGGCTCACGCCTGTAATCCCAGCACTTTGGGAGGCTGAGGCAGATGGATCACCTAGGTCAGGAGTTCAAGACCAGCCTGGCCAACATAGTGAAACCCATTCTCTACTAAAAGTACAATAAGTCAGGCGTGGTGGCACAGGCCTGTAATATCCCAGCTACTCAGGAGGCTAAGGCAGGAGAATCGCTTGAACCCAGGAGGTGGAGATTGCAGTGAGCCGAGATCATGCCACTGCACTCCAGCCTGGGCAACAAGAACGAAGCTCCGTCTCAAAAAAAAAAAAAAAAAGTTGGAGGATGGAGGGGCAGGACACACTCACCATAGCAGGTCTTAGACTTCAGGTGGGGGTCCTGGGTGGTGCCCTTTGGAGTCTTCTGCAACATACTCAATCTTTGATTTTTTTTTCTTTTTTTTTTTTTTTTTTTGAGACAGAGTCTCACTCTGTCGCCCAGGTTGGAGTGCAGTGGTGCGATCTCGGCTCACTGCAAGCTCTGCCTCCTGAGTTCACGCCATTCTCCTGCCTCAGCCTCCCGAGTAGCTGGGACTACAGGCGCCTGCCACCACGCCCGGCTAATTTTTTGTATTTTTTAGTAGAGGCGGGTTTTCACTATGTTGCCCAGGCTGGTCCCTCGATCTCCTGACCTCGTGATCCCCCTGCCTCGGCCTCCCAAAGTGCTGGAATTACAGGCGTGAGCCACTGTGCCCCACCAATCTTTCATTTGTTTTTAATACTCATTGAGAAACTCAGCATCTGTAGACATGAAGTTGCTCAGGGTAAGAGAATGCGGGAATCATAGGCTTGGCACCTTGTGGATGCTTAGAATCATTTATTTAACTAGAATGTATTGAGCATTGTCTTAAAGAATCAGCTGTTGTTCCTGAAGCTGGGGTGAAAAACAAAGACGGCAGATGAAATCTGTGACACTCCAGGTGGGAAAAGAAACTAGGCAGGTGCCGGTATGTTACGGGCTGTAGAAAAACAGACCTGGAGGGCCTCAAAATCTGGGACTCTATGGAGGGTGACCTAGTCAGGGAAGGGGACATCTGAGCAAAGACCCAGAGGCAGAGATGGGGTCGGGGGAGTTATCTCCTGGTCTGCTATCCAGGTGTGATGGCAGGGACAGAGCCCTGTGGGGAGCTGGGGAGGCTGCAGCAAGTGATCCAAGGGGAATGGCCCAGGTTGTGCGGGATCTCTTAGGTTATGGTGAAGCCTCTGCTTCCTGTCTGAGGGAAGTGGGGGCTCGTGGAGTGTGTGAGTGGAAGGGGATGGATCTGGCCTATGGACCCCTTGGATTGCTGTGTAAGGGGCAGGGAGCATGTGGGGACCTGTCCGGAGGTCACTGCAGTAATTCGTGGAGAGGGTGCTGGGAAGTGGCTGATGCTGGACAGACACACTTGGAAGTGGAGCCTGTGGATTTGAGGATGGGGTGGGTGTGATGCTTGTGTAGGGAGTCCCCAGGGACCCCTGATCTTTTGTCTGTACCTGGAAGGATGGGGTGACCCTAATGGAGGCAGGCAGGGTTCTCAGGAAGCAGGTTGAGCAGACACTCAGGAGCTCGGTTTTGGGCACGTTGAAGTTTGAGATGCTTTCTTCAAGCAGGCAGGTAGATACTCAGGTCTGGTGATCAGAGGAGCAGTCCAGGCCAGCAGGTCAATTTGGGAGTTGTCAGTGCATAAATGGAGGCTGAAGCTCAGATGTCAAGCAGACCACCAGGAGAGAGAGCAAAGACAGAGGGGAGAGTAGGAGCTAGGATGGCAGGCAGGGGATACTCGGGTGGAGCCAGGTGCTGGGATGCAGGGGCGGCTCTCAGGGAGAGTGATGAGCCCAGTAAAGCTGAGAGGGGCACTGGGTCTGGCAGTGTGGGTGTCACCAGAGAACTTGGCAAGTGTGGTGGCATGAGAGTCTGATTGGCCTGAGGTCAGGAGAAGATTTTTTTTCTGATGTTGATACATGATATTTTCTATATTTATGGGTACATGTGAGTGCTTGTTACATGCAGAGAGTGTATAATGATCAAGGCAGGGTATTTGGAGTCTCCGTCACCTTGAATATTTTTCTTTCTGGGTGTTAGCACCATAGTCCTCTCTTCATTACTTTGAAATATACAAAATACTGTTGCTAAGCATCGTCACCCTGGTCTGCTATCAAAGATTAGAACTTCTCCTGTCTTGGCTGGGCACGGTGGCTCATGCCTGTCATCCCAGCACCTTGGAAGGCTGAGGTGGGTGGATGACCTGAGGTCAGGAGTTTGAAACCAGCCTGGCCAACATGGCAAAACCCCATCTGTACTAAAAATACAAAAATTAGCCTGGCGTGCTGGCCTGTGCCTGTAATCCCAGCGACTCGGGAGGCTGAGGCAGGAGAATCGCTTGAACCTGGGAGGCGGAGGTTGTAGTCAGCTGAGATCATGCCACTGCACTGCAGTCTGGGAGACAGAGCAAGACTCCATCTCAAAAACAAACAAACAAAAAAACAAAACAAAACAAAAAAGAACTTCTGTCTAACCACAAGGTGGAAGGAATCATGTGCTGGGTGTCAGACCTTCCGGGATGTATGTGCAGCTTTTAGGAATTGAAACCACCAGCTCTTGGAAACTTGTGCCAGGCTTCAGGGTGGGAGAGGCAGTTTTAGAGCTGCAGCCGCCAAGCCAAGCCAAATGGCCCCATCATCTCTCGCAAGAGCAGGAGAGTACCTGGGGGCAGAGGCCATAGTTGTACCTTTCTAGGCAAAGGGTCAGTGTCTGTAGTGTCCATATGGGCAGTGGGGCTCGGGGGGAAGCAGGCCCAGGGGTCTGTTTCCAATGACCTCCTCAAAAGTCAGAACTGGAAGGCAAAACCCCGTATAGACTGGGTGCACCTGTAATCCCAGCATGTTGGGAGGCTGAGGTGGGAGGATTGCTTGAGGCCAGAGTTTGAGACCAGTCTTGGCAATGTAGCAAGACCCCTGTCTCTACAAAAAATAAAAATAAAAAATTAGGCTGGGAGTGGTGGCTCATGCCTCTAATCCCAGAACTCTGAGAGGCTGAGGAGGATGGATCACCTGATATTAGGAGTTCAAGACCAGCTTGACCAACCTGGTGAAACCCCGTCTCTGCTAAAAATGCAAAAATTAGCAAGCCATGGTTGTACATGCCTGTAATCCCAGCTACTTGGGAGGCTGAGGCAGGAGAATTACTTGAACTCGGGAGGTGGAGGTTGGAGTGAGCCAAGATTGTGCCATTGCACTCCAGCCTGGGCAACAAGAGTGAAACTCCATCTCAAAAAAAAAAAAAAAGCCACATGTAGTGGGGTATGTCTGTAGTCTTAGGTACTTCAGAGGCTGAGGTGGGAGGATCGCTTGAGCCTGGGAAGCCAAGGCTGCAGTGAGCCATGATTGCACCACTGCACTCCAGCTGGGACAACAGAGTGAGACCCTGTCTCAAAACAGACAAACAAACAAAAACCCTTATAGTTGGATGGAGAAACTGAGGCTGGGAGAGGGGACAGGATGGAGGTTAAGGCTCAGTCTTGCCTATCTGGGGCAGTAGAAAAGAGGAAGGGAGCCCTTTCTTGGGGCTGGCTGTGTCTTGAAGGTGGCCTGTGCTTGACCTGGGTCAGGGTGGGATCTGCTCTTGTTTTGGCACATTCTGGTGGAGCCCATGAGTCTTACAGGATAAGGCCTTGTGGTCAGTGAGATGGGAGGGGGTCTGGCCTGGCACAGGATTTTAGACATGCAGGCACCTGCACAGACAGACACCTCATCCTGGGACAGCAAAACCCAGCCGCATGCTACTGCTTCCCCTCCTGTGCCCTCCTCAGACATCCCTGGTCCATGTACACTCCTACCTGCTAAGCCCCTCTTAAAAAAAAAATTAAACATCCCCTCCTAAAAAAAATAATAAAATAAAAATCAGGAGGCTGAGGTGGGAGGATTGCTTGAATCCAGGAGTTCGAGATCAGGCTGGGCAAGATGGCAAGACCCCAACTCAAAAAAGAAAAAAAAAATCTTTCCTCCTAAGCCTCATTGCCCCATCTGTAAAACGAGTCAGGGACTGTGCCTGGGATGCTGCCTGCGAGAGATCCCGATGTCCCCCACTCAGGGTCACTAACTGTGGCTCTCTCTCCCCAGGAGGGCTGTCAGTGGCAGTGCCTGGGGAGATCCGAGGCTATGAGCTGGCACACCAGCGGCATGGGCGGCTGCCCTGGGCTCGCCTCTTCCAGCCCAGCATCCAGCTGGCCCGCCAGGGCTTCCCCGTGGGCAAGGGCTTGGCGGCAGTCCTGGAAAACAAGCGGACCGTCATCGAGCAGCAGCCTGTCTTGTGGCATGTCTGTGGGTGCGGCCCCCTGACACAGGCAGGGCAGGCACAGCCCAAGGACCTTGCAGGCCGTAGCAGCAGTGGAGCGGCCCTCTGCCTTCAGGACCCTGCGCTGATAATGGGATGAGGAGATACAGACCCTTCCCACCACGTGTGGGGACACATTCTGAGCGTGGGGACACATTCTGAGCGTGAGGTCCCAGTGGCCACTGTGGCTGGCCATGTGTCCTGAGTGGCAAGGGACACTAGAATGTTCCCGGAAGGGACACTAGGAGGATGAGCGCTGAGTGACAGGGCCACCCACCTGTGACAGGCGCTGCCCCTGCTTTGTGCTGGTCTCCTGTGTGGGCAGGTGTGGGGGGTGGTCTAGCTAAGTCCACCCCACCTGCTGCCTCACATGAGCCCCCTCTGCCCCAGTGAGGTGTTCTGCCGGGATAGAAAGGTGCTTCGGGAGGGGGAGAGACTGACCCTGCCGCGGGTGGCTGACACCTATGAGACGCTGGCCATTGAGGGTGCCCAGGCCTTCTACAATGGCAGCCTCATGGCCCAGATTGTGAAGGACATCCAGGCGGCCGTGAGTGGGTAACCTCAAGGGCCTGGGTAAGGAACTCTGCAGTGGAAACCCTGAGCTGTAGCCCAGAGCCATGGGGTCCTCCTGTCTTGCCTGAGCCTGCAGGAAGTTCCTGGTGGAGGAGGGTCAGTGACTAGCCATGTGGGTCCACAGCTCCTGCTTATATCAAAACCAAGAGAGGCCACACAGTCCAGGAGAGCAAGTCCCTGTTGGGGTAAATGCAGGTGTAGGCAAGAGCCAGGGCTAGGGAAGCACTAGAATACAGCCTGAAGATCCAGGAGGACTTCTTGGAGGAGGTGGCGGCTGGGCTGCAGATAACTTTGTTAGGCAGAGAGAGGAAGGGATTCCTAGCAGAGGAACAGCTGGGCTAAGGCCCAGTAGAGGGGGCTTTGATTCACCAAGGGGGTTACAAGGGATGAGGGTCGCCTTGAGAGAGGCATGGGGAAGGGGATTTGTGGGGCAGGGGCCTGGAGCTTGGCTGTGGCTTTCTTCAGGTAATTTTTGTCACTGTTTCATGGAGGAGGGTGATTAGCATGTCGACCTTTACTACTGAGGCTGGAAATTGGCGTGCCAATACCCTGTCTGTCTGGAGCTGACTCCAGGAGAATTAAGAGCCTCCCTCCCTCCCTCTATCCATTCATCGTGAGGAGAAGAGGCCAAGCAGCAGGGACACCGGCAGGAATTCTCCAGTTAGAAAAGGCCCTCTGAGCCAGGTGTGGTGGCTCACATCTGTAATCCCAGCACTTTGGGAGGCCGAGGCGGGTGGATCACCTGAGGTCAGGAGTTCAAGACCAGCCTGGCCAACATGGTGAAACCCTGTCTCTACTAAAAATGCAAAATTAGTCAGGCATGGTGGGTTGTGCCTGTAATCCCAGCTGCTTGGGAGGCTGTGGCAGGAGAATCGCTAGAACCTCGGGGGCTGAGGTTGCAGTGAGCTGAGATTGCACCACTGCACTCCACAGAGTGAGACTCCATCTCAAAAAAAAAAGAAAAAAAAGGCCCTCTGAGGCCAAGCTTGGTGTCTCATGTCTGTAATCACAACACTTTGGGAGGCTGAGGTAGAAGTTGAGGCCAGGAGGTCCAAGACAAGCCTGGGCAACATAGTGAGTCTACAAAAAAGTATTGAGAATCTACATAAATATAGTGGGGGTGGGGGTGGGGAACAAGAAAACAAAAAATTCAAAGCATAGTGAAAAGAAATATAGCAAAACCTGGCCGTGCATGGTGGCTCATGCCTGTAATCCCAGCACTTTGAGAGGTCGAGGCGTGTGGATACGGGGTCAGGAGATCGAGACCATCCTGGCTAACACAGTGAAACCTGTCTCTACTAAAAATACAAAAAAATTAGCCAGGTGTGGTGGCGGGTGCCTGCAGTCCCAGCTACTTGGGAGGCTGAGGCAGGAGAATGGCGTGAACCTGGGAAGCGGAGCTTGCAGTGAGCCGATATCATGCCACTGCACTCCAGCCTGGGCGATAGAGTGAGACTCCGTCTCAAAAAAAAAAAATAGCAAAACACAACAAAAAAAATTAAAATTTGCTGGGTGTAGTTGTGCCTTTAGTCTCAGCTACTGGGGAGGGTCTGCTGGAGGATCACTTGAGCCCGGGAGTTCAAGGCTGTGATTAAGCCACTGCACTCCAGCCTGGGTGACAGAGCAAGATCCTATCTCTAAAAAAAAAAAAAAAAAAAGAAAACACTCTCTGGCCACAGATGAGAGAAGGCAGACAGGAAGCCACTAAGCCAAGCAGGCAGAGGGCAGGTGGCCCCAGACCAGCTGTCGGGTGGTGAGCAGTGTCAGGGAGACAGGAGTGCCGGAGCTGGTGAGGTTCCCAAGGAGGTGAGGTTGCCTGTGGCCTCCTCCCAGGGCACAGTCCCACCCCTCCAGTAGTGCACTCTGTCCTCCTTTGTAGGTACAGGCTTTTCCTCACCACCATGGTGCAGCCATGCCTGCCCCCAACACCACTGGTGCAGCTCCATCCTCCACGCAGTGGTGCAGCCCCATCCCAGTGCCCATTCGAGCTGCTGTCCCGTCGCAGGGGGCATTGTGACAGCTGAGGACCTGAACAACTACTGTGCTGAGCTGATCGAGCACCCGCTGAACATCAGCCTGGGAGACGCGGTGCTGTACATGCCCAGTGCGCCGCTCAGCGGGCCCGTGCTGGCCCTCATCCTCAACATCCTCAAAGGTGAGTGGTCGCACCACAGCCGTGTGGTAGGACCCATGACACTGCCTCTCTCTCCCCACGCCCCACCCCTGCTGCATCTCTGCTCGCCCTCCATGCCACGTCTTTCCATCACTGAGCTCCCGAGGCGTGTCCCTGCGTCACAGCTCACCATGTCCTGAAGGAGGCAGTGCAGAGCGACAGGGCTGAAGCGGGCAATGCTCAAGGGTTGGAGGAGGAACAGGAGTCATCAGGAAGGAGAGAGGTGCAGGAGCTCAGGGCTGCAGGGCCTGGTCCAGAGGGTACCCTGGTCCAGTGGGTGACCCTGCCACTTGGTCACCGAATGGCCAGAGCTGATGCGTGACGTGAGGTCCAGGCTCGGGAGCCCTCACCTTACTTCACTCTCACCACAGCCTTCTGAAGCAGCTGCTGCTATTGGTTATTAAACGCTCCTTGAGGTGGGCAAAGTGGCTCAGGCAGGTGTTAACCCTCTGAGCCCCTCAGAGCCTCTGGGGCTCAGCAACATGCACCTGGCTCTGATCAACCAGGGTACAACTTCTCCTGGGAGAGTGTGGAGACCCCCGAGCAGAAGGGCCTGACGTACCACCGCATCGTAGAGGCTTTCTGGTTTGCCTACGCCAAGAGGACCCTGCTTGGGGACCCCAAGTTTGTGAATGTGACTGAGGTAAGGGGCAGGGGCTGGCCCACTGTGGGTGTGGGGCCTGCTGTAGAGGCATCAGGTGGGCTCCCCAGGGTGGCTACAGCCTCACATACGCTTTATGAATCCATTCCTGCCACGAACTTTGATTGCGGGCCTACTGTGTGCTCGGATGGACTGGTGGGTGACCCCCAGTCTTGGCTTCTGCCCCACAGAACTGACAGTGTGGGGAATTAGTGGCCACCCTCCTACCTCAGGTCCTTTGCACATGCTGTGGTTCTCGAGTGTTCAGTGCTGAGATGAGGAATGCATGGGGGCATTGCAGCCCTCGGGCATGGTGAGATGGATGGGTGAAAGGGAGAGGGCCAGGTGAACAGAGACCTCGGCCACCCACTCCCTGTCACTCCAAACTAACGCTTCCCAGATGCCACCCTCAGCCCTGCACCACCTGACCCACTCACTCAGTAGTTGCTCCAGCTCCACGCTGGGTCCCTATAAGACCCTGTCATATCCCTTCCCGCTGAGGATCCTCACATTCCTCCTTACCTACTTGGGTCCTTGGCATTCCTGGGTGGATCTGCAGACGCCCCCCACACTGACCAGTGACCTCCCAGGAGGGGCGTCAGCTGCCCGGGTGGTGTCTTCTCTTTCCCCGTGAGCATTCTGCACCTCTGACTCCCGCTGCAGCCAGTGACCTGATGTCTTGTCTCTCTGAGGGGACAGAGCCACTGCAGCGTGTCCCTCTGCCCTCCCTTTTGGCTAAGGCCAACTCTTTCATCTACTCGCTGGCTCAGGGTGCTGTTCCTACAATGCTCCTTTCTGCCTCTGACGATTTACTTCTTTATCACGGATTATTCCCAAAAGAAAGGCAGCTGTTGTTGCTCTAGAAATTTCTATCTGCTGCCTCCTTCTGTCCTTTGCTCCTCTTAGAGCAAACATGGCTGGGCTATGTCCTCTCTCCCTTCAGGGTATCCCCTCCCCTGCTCTATCCCCATGCCACCAGATCGCCATGTCCAGCCTCAGTTTCCCCATCAAGCCCCACTCAGCAGCATCTCACACAGCTCACCACACTCTCCTCGAGTTTTCATTTTGCAAATTTTCGCACTTACAAAAATGTAAAAAAAAACCAAAACTGCCCAAGCATCAATGTTCCCTTTTCCTGGAGTCTGCAGTGTGGACGTTTCTGCCGGATTTCCTAACTCTCTCCATCTCCACCCACATCTATTGGGATTCGTGTTTTTCTGAGGGATTCCACAGTAGGTTACTGATGTCACACCTCAGGGTGTGTCTCAAAAGTGAGACTTGAACATAGCACAGCAGGATGTCGGGGTGACACAACCTGCTGTCCCTTCTCTTTACCTACAGTAGGCTCCCTTGGCTGTTTTGTTTTTGTTGTGTTTTTGTTTGGACACAGAGTCTCTGTCATCCAGGTTGGAGTGCAGTGGTGTGATCTTGGCTCACTGCAGCCTCAACCTCCATGGCTCAAGCAATCCTCCCACTTCAGCCCCCTGAGCAGCTGGGACCAGAGGCACGTGCCACCAAACCTGGATAATTTTTGTATGTTTTTTAGAGACAGGGTCTTGCCCAGACTGGTCTCAAACTCCTGGGATCAAACTATCTTCCCACCTCAGCCTCCCAAAGTGCTGGGATTACAGGTGTGTGTGTTTTTTTTTTTGAGACAGAGTCTCTCTCTGTCACCCAGGCTGGAGTGCAGTGGCGCTATCTCAGCTCACTGCAAGCTCCGCCTCCTGGGTTCACGCCATTCTCCTGCCTCAGCCTCCCGAGTAGCTGGGACTACAGGCGCCTGCCACTGCGCCCAGCTAATTTTTTGTATTTTTAGTAGAGACGGGGTTTCACCGTGATTGCGATCTCCTGACCTCGTGATCCTCCTGCCTCGGCCTCCCAAAGTGCTGGGATTACAGGCATGAGCCACCGTGCCTGGCCTGTTTTGTTGATTTTTAAAGCCCAGGGCAGTAGTCTTGGAAAATGTCCCACATCATGGATTTGCCTTTCTGTTTCCTTGAGGGCAGTTTCAGACAGAACACCTTTCCCTCGGATTGGTCAACTAATCTGTGGGGTGTTGCTGAAACTTTATTTTATTTTATTTTATTTTATTGTATTTTATTTATTTTATTTTTGAGATGGAGTCTCGCTCTGTCCCCCAGGCTGTCGCCCAGGCTGGAGTGCAGTGGCGCGATCTCGGCTCACTGCAAGCTCCGCCTCCCAGGTTCACGCCATTCTCCTGCCTCAGCCCCCCAAGTAGCTGGGACTACAGGTGCCCACCACCGCGCCCAGCTAATTTTTTGTATTTTTAGTAGAGATGGGGTTTCACTGTGTTAGCCAGGATGGTCTCGATCTCCTGACGTCGTGATCCGCCCTCCCAAAGTGCTGGGATTACAGGCCTCGGCCTCCCAAAGTGCTGGGATTACAGGCGTGAGCCACCGCGCCCGGTGTGGAAACTCTCTTGAGGCATTTTCTTCGGCCTTCGGGTCCATCCTCTCTGTCTCCTCCTTGACCTCCTCATCTCCTCCTCGCCACTGCCTTGGGGACCTTGGCCAGGCTCATGGCATCCAGCAGCCACTCAATGTCAATACCTCCATGTTCATCTCTCAGCCCGCCCTTGCCCGTGAACCCATGCTTATTTATTTATTTTTTTTATACTTGCACCCATGCTGTTCAGGTCTGATGAAGTGTCCAAAATCAAGCTTCTGACCATCCCCAAACCTGCCCCTTCTGCAGGGTTTACCTCGCTAGTCAGCACCATCCTTGATTCTTCTCTTTCTCCCACCCAGGCCATCATCTCTTGCCTGGTTGATACCCACAGCCTCCCCTTTGGGATTTATCCTTATCCCCGTCATAGCTGCCAGAGGGACCCTGTGAAAACACTCCCCAGCCTGCTCATTCCTCTGCCCTAAGCCTGCATGGCACAGAGCAAAAGCCAGTTTTTATGGGACCTAGGAGGTCCTGTGGGATGGGCCCCAGCCTGCATCTTCATCCTCTTCTCCCCACCCCACTCCATTCACTCTCTGCCTATCGCTCACCAGCCTATACCACCTGCCTCAGGGCCTTTGCACTGACCATTTAGGCCGCATTCCAGGCTCTTTTCACACGTTGCCTCCTCTGAGAAGCCCTCCCTGACCACTCTGCCCATACCTCATGCCTCTTGATTCCCCTTACCTGGCTTGTGGTTTCAGCACTTTCCCTGTGTGTGTTTGTTTTTCTTGGCATGAGGGCAGGACCTAAAACTGTCTGTTCCCTGTTGATTCCCCAGTGCCAGGCATGCAGTGCAAACTCTAGAAATATTTTTTGCATGAAGGAATGAGTGATTGAATGCAGCAAGGGTCTGGAGGCTGAGGACCAGGCAGACAGACATTCAGAGTTGCTGAAACGCAACAGAGACAGGGAGTCAGACTGGTCATGCAAGGTCCTGGGCCTGCCCTTGGGTCCTGGGGAGCCACGGAAGGTTGTGGGTGCCAGAGGGTTTTGGTCAGAGTCACAGTCAGGGGCCTTCTGAGACCTGTGCCCCCTCCCCACCCTCCCTCCCCACCTCCTCAGGCCAGCTCTGGGGTCTCGGCAGGTGGTCCGCAACATGACCTCTGAGTTCTTCGCTGCCCAGCTCTGGGCCCAGATCTCTGACAACACCACTCACACGATCTCCTACTACAAGCCCAAGTTCTACACGCCGGATGACAGGGGCACTGCTCACCTGTCTGTCATCACAGAGGACGGCAGTGCTGTGTCCGCCACCAGCACCATCAACCTCTAGTAGGGGCTGCTGGGCCGCCTGGGTGGGAAACTGCCAGAGGTGGGTGGCCCAGGGACCACCCACTTATCCAGTCAGGTGGCTCCATCACCTCTTTTCCTGGTGGGAAACTGAGGCCCAATCTTGGTAGCTTATCCTGGGCCTCTCAGTGAGTATGTTTCAGCCTCAGTGGGTGGATAGGGACCAGGCTGGGCCAGGCAAGGTCGGGCGCTGTCTGACCCTGCTGGGCGGTAGCTTTGGCTCCAAGGTCTGCTCCCCGGTCAGCGGGATCCTGTTCAATAATGAATGGACGACTTCAGCTCTCCCAGCATCACCAATGAGTTTGGGGTACCCCCCTCACCTGCCAATTTCATCCAGCCAGGTATGGGGTGGAGGTCCGGGGGTGGGGGACTGGGGTGGAGAGGGGCGGGTGTCCTGGGCAGGCAGCTGACGGGCATCCCTGTCTTCTCCCATCAGCCGCAGGGAAGCAGCCGCTCTCGTCCATGTTCCCAACGATCATGGTGGGCCAGGACGGCCAGGTCCGGATGGTGGTGGGAGCTGCTGGGGGCACGCAGATCACCACAGCCACTGCACTGGTATGCGTCACCCCTTTTCTCCCTGGCCCTGCCCACTCCGCACAGCCCCCAAGCCATGCTGATCACACTCCCATGCCCCAGGCCATCATCTACAACCTCTGGTTCGGCTATGACATGAAGCGGGCCGTGGAGGAGCACCGGCTGCACAACCAGCTTCTGCCCAACATCACGACAGTGGAGAGAAACATTGACCAGGTGGGCCAGGGGTTGGAGAAACTGAGTCATGGTGTGTGGCCCCAGGGCATCCTGGGCTGGAGGCCTGGATCATCACAGAGTGAACAATGGTTGGTGTCCTCTCTCTAGTGCCTGGGCCATCTGGAGCCCCTGTGCCATGAGGGCCAAACCCCCTGCTCCAATGAGACCCAGCAGGCCCCAACCTGCTCTTCCTGATGACCTGGCCTGAAATGGCACCACCTGGGCTGAGGCCTGTGACCACACAGGCGTGGTTCAGGTGGCATCTGGAGCCCTGCTCAGCCTTCCCCTCTCCCCCCACCCCCAGGCAGTGACTGCAGCCCTGGAGACCCGGCACCATCACACCCAGATCGCGTCCACCTTCATCGCTGTGGTGCAAGCCATCGTCCGCACGGCTGGTGGCTGGGCAGCTGCCTCAGACTCCAGGAAAGGTGGGGAGCCTGCCGGCTACTGAGTGCTCCGGGCAGACAAGGCTGACAAGCAATCCAGGGACAAGATACTCACGAGGACGAGGAAGAGGACTTTGGGGGACGGGCTTCCCCTGTGAGCAGCAGAGCAGCATAATAAATGAGGCCACTGTGCCAGGCTCCAGGTGGCCTCCCTGGCCTGTCTCCCCACTCTCTGGGCCTCAGTGTATTGTGTGTGAAATGGAGCCATCTGGCTGGGGAGGAACAGAGAGGTGGGATTCGGAGATCTTCACAATGCGGGCACTGGAACTAGCCTCAGCATCTTCAGCATGGGGAGAGCCGGGCACATGGCTGGGGGCCAGGGGAAGGTTCACACCAAACCCTGCCCCTTCCCACCCTGATCCCTCGGACTTTGGGGCCAGGCCCTCCCTTACTGGGGCTGGGCAGTGACACTACCTAGGATCAGCCACCAGGGGGTGTCACGACCCTGGCGCTTTCTTAGGCAGAGGGTGGCCAGCTGATGCTGGGAACCTGGGCGCCTTCTCAGACCCGTAGGCCTCCAGCTCACCCTGCCGATGACACTGGCGGTGAAGCTGAGGTCCGAGGAATGGGGACTGGGCAACAGGCTGGAGGAAAACATCTCGGTCAGAGCCACGCCCCTCGGGGGTTCCCAAGAGCAAGCCCAGAGTGAAACCCAAGCTTGTGATCCTCTCCAGAGGGAGGCCTGGTTCTCAGGGAACAGCAAACGGGAAGATGTCCCCAGATCCCAGGGATCAGGGCTTGGACCAGCTGGGGACGCAGCCCAGAGGGAGTGGGTCCAGAAGGAAACAGCTAGACACAGCAGCCTTCACCATTGGCAGCCCCTCCAGGCCTCCCTTGGGGCCTGCTCCCTCCTCTGTGCACAGTTCCAACACCTGGAGCAGGGTTCTGGGAAGGGCTGGTGGAGGTGGGCTGGTGGGAGGCGGTGATCACAGCCCAGCACCTGGATATCACCAGGGGCACTGGGGCCAGGGGCCAGGTGAGGCCAGGTCGGGGCTATCCTTCAGGAGCCCCAAAAACCTGGTGATTCCAAAGGGCCCATAGACAAACAGGGTTTTATGCCTGTGGAGTCAAGTCCCACTGGGTCTGAGCTCTGGAGGGCTGTGTCTCTGGGGCTCTGCAAGGGTGAGGTGGAGGTAGGCTCAACTGGTGTACAAGTCACTCTTCAATCCTTATTTTATTTATTTAATTTTTTTTAAAAAAATTTAAACCAATAGAGATGGGGTCTCACTATGTTGACCAGGCTGGTCTTAACTCCTGACTTCAAGCAGTCCCCCAATCTCAGTCTCCCAAAGTGCTAGGATTACAGGGGTGAGCCACTGCACCCGGCCTCAATCCTTATTTTGGCCTGAGAGGAAAAGCCGTGGCCCCATTTGCAGGGGAGAAGACTAAAGCTGGAGGGGCAGGCCTTGCTCTGGGTTGCACAGCAGCAAGAGAAGTGGGAGCTGGCCATGAGACTTCCTGGACCCAACACGCTGGTGGGGTACACCCTGGTTCTCCAGGTCCCATGGGGCTCAGCCCAGGACTACCTCGGGGGGTGAGGGACTTAAATCCTCTCCTTCATTCTCATCACCCCTTCCCCCATCATTTCCTGAGGAAGGACATTCAGGGACCTGAAGGGGTGGCCTGCCCCTCCACACCTGTGGGTGTTTCTCATCAGGTGGGACAAGAGACTGAGAAAAGAAAGAGACACAGAGACAAAGTATAGAGAAAGAAAAGTGGGCCCAGGGGACCTGCACTCAGCATATGGAGGACCCACGCTGGCACCAGTCTCTGAGTTCCCTAGTATTTATTGATCATTATCTCTACCATCTCAGAGAGGGGGATGTGGCAGGACAATAGGGTAATAGTGGGGAGAGGGTCAGCAGGAAAACACGTGAACAAATGTCTGTGTCATAAACAAGGTTAAGAAAAAGGTGCTGTGCTTTGATGTGCATATACATAAACATCTCAATGCATTAAAGAGCAGTATTGCCGCCAGCATGTCTCACCTCCAGCCCTAAGGCAGTTTTCTCCTATCTCAGTAGATGGAATATACAATCGGGTTTTACACCGAGACATTCCTTTGCCCAGGGACGATCAGGAGAGAGATGCCTTCCTCTTATCTCAACTGCAAAGAGGCCTTCCTCTTTTATTAATCCTCCTCAGCAAAGACCCTTTGGGGTGTCGGGCTGTGGGATGGTCAGGTCTTTCCCTTCCCAGGAGGCCATATTTCAGACTGTCACTTGGGGAGAAACCTTGGACAATACCTGGCTTTCCTAGGCAGAGGTCCCTGTGGCCTTCTGCAGTGTTTTGTGTCCCTGCTTACTTGAGATTAGGGAGTGGTGATGACTCTTAACAAGCATGCTGCCTTCAAGCATTTGTTTAACAAAGCACATCCTGCATAGCCCTAAATCCATTAAACCTTGAGTCGACACAGTACATGTTTCTGTGAGCACAGGGTTGGGGGTACGGTTACAGATTAACAGCATCTCAAGGCAAAAGAATTTTTCTTACTACACAACAAAATGGAGTCTCTTATGTCTACTTCTTTCTACATAGACACAGTAACAGTCTGATATCTCTTTCTTTTCCCCACAGGGACCTTCCTGGCTGTGCCTCGGGTCAGGACCAGAATGACACCCATTCGTTTCCCTGGGCCTTTGCTCGGATGGTCCCTGCACCCTGGCCTCTGCCTGATGAGGATGGTGGGGAGAGGAGGGGGGACGTCCCCCACACTGCTGTCTCCACTGTTCCTGCTGCCCAGGCCTCTGGGCTTCCAGGACTGCAGCGGGTCGATGGGTGGGCTGGCCTGAGCCGAGGAATGCACTTCAGCTCCTGGTTGAGCAATGTCACTGAGGCTTGGGAGTCGGGTGGGGGCAGGAGGAGGCGTCCACAGGCCCCCATACCGTGAGAGGCAGCCGTGGGAACAGCCTACCTCTAAACAATCACTGCAGCCCAGGCTGACCAGGGGCTCTGGCCAGACATAGGGGCCTGGCAGGCTGTGTGGCCTGTAAGGACACAGTCTGTCTCTGTGCCTCAGTTTCTCTGCTGCCCAGATGGAGGGGCCCGGACTCCAGGTGTAGACATCTGGAGCAGGCAGTGTTCAGCTGGGGAGGAAGCGGGGAGGACTGTGGGGGCCATGTGGGAAGGATTCCACCCCACATCACCTGCACCCCTGCTGAGCCGGGTCAACGGAGCCCCTCAGTGGGTCCTCACTCCCCTGGCTGCCTCCCATTTAGGCACCCTGAGGCCTGGGGAGAACAGAGCCAGGCCAGTGTCCCCAGAGAGGCTGTGCTGCCAGCACAGTAGTAGCGGATTTGGATTCAGGGAAGCAGACCTGCAGCCAGGGTGGGAAAGAGCTGCAGGTGGGGTGGGGCCCCCACATGGCACAGCCCCCCTCCCTGGAGGTCCATGCTGCATTTCCAGGACAGCAAGTCCCAGGGATGGATGGTGCCGGGTACCAAGGGCTAGAGGCATGGTCTGTCTGCATTTCCCACATAAGTGTCTCATAGTCACCAGCATTTGATGCTGTCAAGTCCCCCTGTCCTCTGTGCAGACTGGGAAGCCCTTGTTAACCTTGGGGGTTTGGGGGACCCAGGCCAGGCTGCAGAAGCATAAGGACTTGAACCCGGGTCCTGAGTGACACCACCTTGGGTCCTCCTCCTTCTGCCTCTGTTCAGCTCCACCTTGATGCTGACTAGGCTGGGCCATGCGGAGAGGGTTAGGGGATAGAGATGGGAGCTGGGGAGCAGGGCTCCACTCTGGGAGGGGGGCAGCCTTGCCAGATCCAGGGCAGAGTTAAGCGGCCCCAACTCTGCTTTCCCAGAGCAGCTGAGAACCTGGGGAATGGTGTGGAGGTTCCGGGGAGCCCTGCCCCTACCTGGCAACAGCAGTGCAGCAGGCACCAAGTTCTCCTGCACATTGCGACAGTGTGACCATGGGCTCTGGCAGGCAGTAGGTGGGGCCTTTGGACCTACCAGCAGTGAGGGAGTTAACACAGCAGCTGACTTCTCTAGGCAAAGAAAACTCCCCTCAGACGCTTTGCTGCCTGGCCTCCTGCCAGGAACAAGCAGGAGCTGAAAACTAGAAGTTGAGGCATGAGTTTGGCCACTCCGTAGTGTGCACTTGGTGAGGGCAGCAGCTCACCACAGCTGCCAGCCATCTGTCCATTCACCCATCTGTCCATCTGGCAGCCCGCTGTTCAGACCTGTCTGTCTGTCCGCCCAACTGTAAGCCCATCTCTGTCCCATTGTCTATCTGACCATCTTTCTCTTACTGTCCACTTTTTCTAGCTATCTGGCCTGTCTGTCGATCCATCTTCGTGTCTGTCTTCAGCCCCCACCTGTTTGTCCATCTGTCCAATTACCTGTGAGTCTATCTATGCATCTTCTTGTCTATTCATCTGCCCAACCATCTGTCCCTCCGTCTGCCCACCGGCCTCCCCTCTCCTTCTGGGCCACAGAGCCATGGCCCAGGACTGCGGAGCCATGGTTGACCTGGTCCTGCTGGGGCTGGGGCTGGGGCTGGGGCTGGCGCTGGCTGTGATTGTGCTGGCTGTGTTCCTCTCTCGACACCAGGCCCCATGTGGCCCCCAGGCCTTTGTCCCCGCTGCTGTTGCTGCTGACTCCAAGGTCTGCTCAAATGTTGTACGGTGAGTGAGACGTGGGAGGAAGCTGGGTGGCCCTTGGCAGCCAGCCCCTCCTGGAGAAGGCGTGTGTGTGTGAGCATGTGTGTGTGTGTGTGAGATTATGTGTGAGTGTGAGTGTGTGTGGGTATGTGAGATTATGTGTGAGTGTGTGTGGGTATATGTGTGAGTGTGTCTGTGGGGTTTGGGTGGGTGTGAATGTGTGTGATCGTGTTTGGGTGTGTGTATGTGTGAGTGTGGGTGTGTGTGAATGTGTGTGATTGTGTTTGTGTATGTGTGAGTGTGTGGGTGTGTGTGAGTATATGAGTGTGAGTGTGGGGGTGTGGGTGGGTGTGAATATGTGTGATTGTGTTTCGCTGTGTGAGGGTGTGTGTGAGTGTGAGTGTGAGTGTGTGGGTGTGTGGGTGTGTGTAAATGTGTGTGATTGTGTGTGTGAGTGTATGTGTGCGTGTTTGTGGGTGTGTGTGAGTGTGTGAGTGTGAGTATGGGGGGTGTGGGTATGTGTGAATGTGTGTGATTGTGTGTGGGTATGTGTATGTGTGGGGGTGTGTGTGCGCGTGTGTGTGTGTGTGCACGTGCACTGGCCCAGGAAGCAGGAGCTGTGTGTGTGGGCTTCAGCACCTGCAGGGCTTGAGCGCAAGGAGACAGCCTCAGGGCCCTTGCACAGAACAGGTGGCAGGGTGTGCCCGTGGGGCAGATGGGGACTTGGGGACAATGGTGGTGTGTGAGTCCATACCTGGCTCCAGGATTCAGGAGGCCCATTTGCATATCCCAGGTGGGAACCTGTCTGGCCCCGCCTGACCCTGCTGGCCGGTGCAGGCCCCTTCAGTGAGGCCAATTCTCCAAGGCTGGGGTCTTCTCCCAGGGTCAAGGGTGAAGGGGTTTGGAGGCTCCCTGCGTGGGTACTGGCCTGCTGGGGTACACACAATGCTGCCATAGCCAGTCTGCCCCAACACCCAGCCCGGGGCCACATCTCAGGTCTCTCAGTCCTGGGGAGCCCGGTGCCCCACCCCTCACATCCTCTCTCCCTGAGTCAGGGCCTGGGTCTCGTGAGCTGAGTGACTGATACTTGGTGTCCTGGATGAGGGCGTGGTGGAGAGGGGCCACAGTGGGTGTTTCCTGACCCTCTTCCAGGAAGGTGCTGCTGCTGCTGCAGGGAGGACACATACAGGATGCCCCTTCCTGCCCCCTGCCTCCCATTGGGCCCACAAAAGCCAGGGCAAGCCTCCCCTCCCTGCCAGCCACCTGGTCTGCTTCCCAGAAATTCTGTCTTGCAGGCTGTTGGGAGGATCCCAGTACTTTGTAAACTAAAGCAAGGGAGGAGTGGCCGTTCTCTCTCTTTGTTCATTCATTCACCTTTTCATTCATTCCTTCTTCCCTCCATTCCCCCATCTGTCCATCCTTCCCTGCCCTGATTGCTCACACCACCCCCCAGCCCCTCCTGACCTGGTCCTTTGGTTTCTCTTTAGGGCTTTCTGTCTCCTCCCACAGGGCTGAGAATGGCAGCTCAGGGACAAGTGGGGGCTGGGGACTGCTTAGTCTCCCCAGTGGCTCTCAGGGGATTTGAGGGTTTGACGCCAGCTGCCACCCCGGGCTGTGCCCCTCCTCTGCTCAGGAGCACATACAGGGATGCGACACCCACTTAAACTCGAAGTTGCAAAGATGCAAATGAGACTGGGGTCTCAGGCACCAGAGACCACCCATGGGCACGTGGCTTTTGGGAGTGGGGACCTGCTGCCACAGATCTCTGAAGAGTCTGGACCTGCTGGGTCTCACCGAGTGACTGTCTGGGGGTCTCCATAGCATGCCTTGCTGTGTGCGTGATGGTCACTGGTTGGGTAGGGGTCTCTACTCTAAAGCTCCCTCTGCCGGCATCCCCTCGAACTCTCCCTTGGTGAAGAGAGGATGTGGTTTGCCCCAGTGTTTTATCAAACAACTCTCTCCACTTCCAGTTTTAAGAAGCTGAGAGTGGAAGAGAGCCTGGGGCTGGCCCCAGCTGCTGCTGTGAAACAGGGGTCACTGGATGCTGGGACCCTGGCCGGGCTGGCTGGAGGCCTCAGGAAGAGGCCTGCTACATCGTCATCCTGGCCAAGATTCCTCCCTGCAGAGGACCCTGGCCACACTGCCACGGGGTCTGCTGGGGCCACCAGAAGCCCATGCTCCTGCCTCCATCTCTCCCCTCTGTGCTCACCTCTCACCAGGAGGCCCTCCCAGAGTTCAGTGTCCTGCTTTTTTTTTTTGAGACGGTGTCTCACTCTGTCACCAGGCTGGAGTGCAGTGGCGCGATCTCAGCTCACTGAAACCTCTGCTTCCTCGGTTCAAATGATTCTCCTGCCTCAGCCTCTTGAGTAGCTGGGACTACAGGTGCCAGCCACCATGCCCAGCTAATTTTTGTATTTTTAGTAGAGACGGGGTTTCACCATGTTGGCCAGATGGTCTCTATCTCTTGATTAGCCCACCTTGGCCTCCCAAAGTGCTAGCATTACAGGAATGAGTCATGGCGCCCGGCCTCATCTCCTACTCTTTCAGCACCAGGTTTTATTCTTAGGATTCTGCTACAGCTGGAGCCCCTGGGTGCGAGCTCCTAAGCTTTGTGTGAGTGTGGACCCAGCACCGTGCCTAGTAGACATACAAAAGGAGCATGGTGACAGTGAGGTCTGTCATCTCCAGCATAATAACTGTTTTGATCCTTGTAGAAAAGGTGATTTTTGGCTGGGTGTGGTGGCTCACACCTGTAATCCCAGCACTTTGGGAGGCCGAGGGGGGTGGCTCACGTGAGGTCAGGAGTTGGAGACCAGCCTGGGCAACATGGTGAAAACACGTCTCTACTAAAAATACAAAAATTAGCTGGGCATGGTAGTGGGTGCCTGTAATCCCAGCTACTTGGGAGGCTGAGACAGGAAAATCACTTGAACCCAGGAGGCAAATGTTGCAGTAAGCCAAGATTGCACCACTGCACTCCAGCCTGGGTGACAGAGCAAGACTTGGTCTCAAAAAAAAAAAAAAAAGAAAGAAAAGTTTATATTTTTGTTCTAATGGTTATCTTAATATCTTCATTCTATAATTATATGTTTTATATAATTATAATTGCTATATAAGATATAATACCCCTAGTATGTTGTTTTTTGGATATTCTACTCGTTCCTGATGGTTAATTTATGTGTCAACTTGGCTAAGCTATGGTGCCCCGTTGTTTGGTCAAATACTTGTCAATATCTTGCTGGGAGGTTATTTCATAGATGTGGTTAACACTGACAGTCAATTGACTTTAAGTAAAACAGATTACCCACCATAATATGGGTGGGCCACCTCCAATCAGTTGAAGGCCTTAAGAACAAAAACAGGTTTCCCAGAGAAGCAGGAATTCTGCTTCAAGACTGTAACACAGAAACCCTGCCTGAGTTTCTGGCCTGCTGACTGCTCTACAGATGTTAGGTTCCAGACTTCGAGATCAACCCTTACCTGAATTTATAGCCTGCTGGCTTGCCCTACAGATTTTAAACTTGCTAGTCCCCACAATCATGTGAGCCAATTCCTAAATAAATCTCTCTCTATGTATAATCTATTGGTTTAGTTTCTCTGAAAAGCTTTCACATCCAGTTTCCTGGATGTTAAGAATTACTGAAACTAGCTAGTAACTTTTTTTTTTTTTTTTTGAGACAGAGTTTTGCTCTTGTTGCCCAGGCTGGAATGCAATGGCACAATCTCAGCTCACCACAACCTCCACTTCCTGGGTCCAAGCAATTCTCCTCCCTCAGCCTCCTGAGTAGCTGGGATTACAGGCATGTGCCACCATGCTTGGCTAATTTTTGTATTTTTAGTACAGACAGGGCTTCTCCATGTTGGTCAGGCTGGTCTTGAACCCCCAACCTCAGGTGATCCACCGCCTTGGCCTCACAAAGTGCTGGAATTACAGGCATGAGCCACTGCGCCTGGCTCCTAGTAAATTCTTCTTTTCCGTGATGTGTCTCTTACCTCTAATAATACTTTCTTCTTAAAGTCTACTTCATTAAAAATAGTTATGCTGGGCATGGTGGCTCATGGCTGTAATCTTGGCACTTTGTTGGAGTTCGAGGTGGGTGGATCACTGAAGCCCAGGAGTTCAAGACCAACCTGGGCAACATGGCGAGACCCTGCCTCTACAAAAAATACGAAAATTAGCTGGGTGTGGCTAATATAATTCTAAGTTGGCACACTTGTAGTCCCAGCTACTTGGGATGCTGAGGTGGGAGAATCGCTTGAGCCTAGAAGGGAGGGATTGCTGTAAGCCAAGATCACATCACTGCACTCCAGCCTGGGAGACAGAGTGAGACTCTATCTCCAAAAAAAAAAAAAAAAAGTTATACAGCTTTCTTGGTTAGTGCATGCATGACTTATTTTTCATTATTTTCCACCTCTCTGTATCCTTATATAAAAGGCATTAGTTGGGTTTTACTTTATTTTCAATTATTTTAATTTTTATTGTCCTTTTAAATGTAACTAATGATTTATTTGGGTTGAAACCCACCACCAATTTGTTTTCCATGCCTATTCTATTTCTTCTTATCTCCTCTCACATCTTGTTTTGGATTTATTATTTTTATTATTTAATTTCCTCCTTCTCTATTAGTTTCATAACTGTGCAGTCTTAGAGTTATTTTAAAAGATGACTGGATTATTTTGAGCTTACAACATGCATCCTTCACTTATCAAAGTCTAACATGAGCTAGTACTTTTTGTTGTTGTTGTTGAGATAGAGAGAGTCTTCCTCTGCTGCCCAGGCTGGAGTGCAGTGGAGCAATCTTGGTTCACTGCAACCTCCACTTCCTGGGTTCAAGCAATTCTCCTGCCTCAGTCACCTGAGTAGCTGGGACCACAGGTGTGCACCATTATGCCCGGCCAATTTTTGTATTCTTTTTTAGTAGACACAGGGTTTCACCATGTTGGCCAGGCTGGTCTTGAACTCCTGACCTTAAGAGATCTGCCTACCTCGGCGTCCTAAAGTGTTGGGATTACAGGCGTGAGCCACCGCGCCCAGCCTATGAGTTAGTACTTCTATCCTCTTCCTAGTCAGTACAAGAACCTTGGAACAGGAACTAAATTTACCCCCAGTGACTTATATGCTAATATTTTTGTGTATTTTAAATATGTGTGTGTGCATAGATGTACCTGTGTGTTTTTTGTGTTTTTATTCTTATTTATGTTGAGAGTGTAGAGCTATGTAAGAGTAAAGAGAATTGTGTAATGAAGCCCCACGTATCCATTCAATTTCAACAACAATCTTATGGCCAAGCTCATTTCATGTATACTCTTTCCTGCTTCCCTCTACCCCACATTATTTCAGTGCAAATCCCAGATATATAACTGTACCCATACATATTTCAGTATGTTTATTTTAAACCCCACAAGATATCATTTTCTATACTACTGTAATTTTATACCAATAACATTCATTTAGATTTACCCACACGTTTACCCTACCCTCCGGGTCCTGTTTGAAAATCAAACCCATGCTCACAGGCCAATTTTTTTTCTTTTAGAGACAGGGTCTCACTTTGTCACCCAAGCTGGAGTGCAGTGGTGTGATTATAGCTCAATGCAGCCTCCAATTCCTGGACTCAAGGGACCCTCCTGCCTCAGCCTGCCAAGTAGCTTGGACTATAGCTGTGTGTTTTATTATTAGTTTGTAGACATGGGGTCTGGCTATGTTGTCCAGGCTATTCTCAAAATTCCCAGCCTGGAGCAATCCTCCTGCCTCGGTCTCTCAAAGGTTGGGATTACCGGTGTGAGGCAAGGCACCCAGCTCAGCCACAGAGCCCTGTTGCATCTCTCTTACTAGGAGCAAGAGCTGACTGCCCCCTCATCCCCATTCCAGAGTGTTGGGGCTGTGTTCAGCCGAGGCCAGGCCACTGGCATGGCCCAGGGAGTGGGATCATTCACTGCTGCCCAAATCTGAGATCATTCCACCTTGACAACACTTCCTCATCCAATCCCTTTACTTGACAGCTGGGGAAACCCATGCGCACAGAGCACCCCCAGCTCACTTGGGGTCTCAGAGCTGATCCATGAGCAGAGGCCAAGTTCCTGGGATCTTGTCCCCCAGCCACCCCACAAGCTTACTCCCTTTCTGCTGGAAGAGATGGGGCTGGACCTCGACCAGCAGCCCTGGCCTGGACATGACTGTGCTCACGCAGGTATTTAGGCTGAGATGCCCCGGCATCATATTTTTTTCTCTTTTTTTTTTCTTTTTTTTTTGAGACAGTGTCTCACTCTGTCACACAAGCTGGAGTGCAGTGGCATGATATTGGCTCACTGCAACCTCTGCCTCCCGGTTAAAGTGATTCTCCTGCCTCAGTCTTCCAAGTAGCTGGGCCTACAGGCTTGTACCACCACGCCTGACTAATTTTTGTATTTTTACTAGAGACGGTTTTTCCCCATGTTGGCCAGGCTTGTGTCGAACTCCTGACCTCAGGTGATCCACCTGCCTTGGCCTCCCAAAGTGCTAGGATTACAGGCATGAGCCATGGCGTCACTTAAATGTAGTGAGAGGCCGGGCAAGGGGCTCATGCCTGTAATTCCAGTACTTAGAGAGAACGAGGCTGTCCGATCACCTAAGGTCAGGAGTTTGAGACCAGCCTGGCCAACATGGTGAAACCGTGTCTCTACAAAAAAATAGAAAAAAAAAATCCCTGCGTGGTGGTGAGTATCTGTAGTCCTAGTTACTCAGGAGGCTGAGGCATGAGAATCGCTTAAATCTCGGAGGTGGAAGCTGCAGTGAGCTGAGATGGCGCCACTGCACTCCAGCCTTGGTGACAGAGCAAGACTTTGTCTCTAAATAATTAAATAAATAAATATGGCCAAGCATGGTGCCTTAGGCCTGTAATCCCAACGCTTTAGGAGGCTGAGGCAGGTGGTTCATGAGGTCAGGAGCCCGAGACCAGCCTGGCCAAGATGGTGAAACACCAGGGGATCCTGTGCGAAGCACCATGGCTTCAGCTGGGGTGGGAGTGGGTGGGACTCTCTCTAATGACTTATCCTGGTGTTTGTGTTTCTGAAGATTTGATTGTGGAGAGCATATCCGATGATGGGGATTTGTAGGTAGGTAACTACTTTCCACGTAAGATCCAATGGGAGAGAGTTCCCAGGGGCCTTCGGGGTATCCATGCTGCTTGGGAGGTTAAGGGAGGGGGCATGAAATCAAAATGAAACAGGAAATATGTGTCATACTGTATTTGGTCTTTTCCAGGTTTATTGGCATAATAGTTAGAACTGTCTCTCTGGGCTATGAGGGTGCTGTGTTATTTGAAGGTGGTCTTTCCCAGAACACCTGGCCTTTTCTTTTCTGCCTCTGCCAAACATCACAGCCTTTGGGTTGGATTAGTCAGCACCCCTTGGGATTGTGCAGAAGAGGTTTGGGGTTGCATCGAGTGTCACCTGTGGTGAACAGAATCTGAGGGACACAACTCTCTCACAGGCACTTCCTTCAACCCGGAGACAGAGTTCTCCTGGTGTGTGCTCAGGGGTGGAGGAGAAACTGACAGTCGGCCTCTGAACTTTCAGGACTTTAAAAAGCACTCATGTTTCCATCCTCACTGTTGACTCCTGGCTTAAAGGGATCTCCCGGGGTGAGTGAGGAGGAGGGATCGGACCCTGGCAGTCTAACGGCAGCACCTGTGTTCCTCTGCACTGGGCTGTGGATGACATTACACACCTTGGTGAGAATCAGGAATTGAGGCTAACCACATCTGAAATTGAGATGGGCCTTGAGTCATATAAATAGTTTGGAAAAGATGCATTTTACTACGCTGTTGAAAGAAACCATTTATTTCTCACTCCAGCAGGATAAATGGTTATCAGTATCCACTTAACTGCTCATTGACTCTTACTGTAGATGAGCAGGTGGCCAGCAGCCCCTGCCCTCCCACAGTTGTAGGCCCAAGGTAACCAGCAATTGACTGGATATAATGGAAGAGTGGTGCATTCGGAGGTATCTGTATTAATGGGACCAACATTATATGGATGAGAGCTATTAGGGTGAGAAAAAGCCTGGGAGCACAATGAAATATTTAAACAAAACATTGTTGAAATCTCCATTGTACTTTAGTAGTTGAAGTCATTCTTGTGGTCATCACTGCCTTTCCCAAACATAACAAGCTACTTAATATCACATGGACCCGTGCCATGAGAAATGATGATCAGTTTGTAAAACGCCAATAAAACAATTGCCTATATAAGCCACAATGTTTCATCCATATATTTCAATTTCCATGTGTAAGTATAGTTCAAATTTCAGAAATTTATTATTATCTAATAGAATATGCATGGTATATCAATGAGCAATTATCATACTGTTTCTATTCACAATTATTTGTATGATGAAAAAAGCAGACTCCCATTCTTGGATTTTTCTCAGTTTGCACACATTAGCATTACAGCCCCATTTCCACCTGACATGTGCCAGCAAGAGGCCAGGAACAGAGGCTTTTCTTATTAACTAAGATTTCTAAATGTATTACGTATTCACATTTAGAAACTCTAAATATCATAAAAGGTTAGCAAGGAAGTTTCCCTTCCACTCTGAACTTCCAAACACCAAGTCAACATTTTTGTTTGCCTATCATCCCTGCAATCTATGTGCAAATAGAAACATGCACCTGGAATGCATGCTGATGTGTGATCGTGTTTACACAAAGTCCTCTGCACCTCTGCATATATCACTGGGCAATGCACCTTAGTTATCATTCCACATTTCAAATGTAAATCCATTGTATTGTTTCAGAGCTATAAAGTACTGCACCCTATGACTATTCCCAAAATTACTTAAGCACCCCGCTATGGGTATCCATTCATTCTGTTTCCAGTCTTGCTCTTATAACCAATGCTGTAGTGAACAGCACTGTGTTAAGAAGTGGTGAACGTGGGCATCTTTGTCTTGTTCCCGTCCTCAGGGGGAATGCTTTCAACTCTCCCCCATTCAGGAAAATGTTGGTTGTGGGTTTGTCATAGATAGCTTTTATTACCTTAAGGTATGTCCATTCTATGCCAATTTTGATGAACGGTTTTAATCATAAAGAAATGCTGGATTTTGTCAAAGGCTTTTTCTGCATCTATTCAGATTATCATGTGATTTTTGTTTTTAGTTTTATTTATGTGATGTATCACATGTATTGACTTGCCTATGTTAAACCATCCCTGCATCCCTAGTATGAAACCCACTTGAATCATGGTGGATTATCTTTTTGTTATGCTGTTGGATTCGGTTAGCTTGGTTGTAGCATTTCTTATTATTCCATCTGTGGAATGTATTGGTTTAAATAATGAAAACATGTTCTATCCTCACTGCTTAGCACTTTGTGTTTCTTTAATAGCATTCCCAACAGGGCAACATAAAAGCAGGAGCCCTGCTAGTCTCCCCTTAACCCGAAATCCCCCCTTCTCCACAGCTCGCTCACTGGACAGGATAGACTGGGTGCCCAGGCCTCAAGGTAAGGACGTGCTCTGTCACCTAGAGGTGCAGTGCTTGGGAAGGCCAACCTTGGAGGGTTGCCTGCCAGCTTTACAGTGACAGAGGTGTTGGGAGGGACTGACCACCAATGCATAAGGCTGTGCTTTGTTGGTGACATAAAGGATTGTTTCACAGATTGTTGGGGAGGGACAATCCCAAGGCCTCCCCCGGCCCTGGTGCTGGCTGTGCACAAAGGCAATAAGAGAGGGATGCTGGTAAGGGCTGACCTGTTGCTGTGCTGGGGAGGAAGGTGCTGGGCTGAAATTCAGGAGGCTGAGGATGCAGCAGTCCCATAGGAGGTACATGACCTTCAGGATACATTTTCTTCATTGATGATCAATGGAAATGAGAAATCACTATTTTTTCTATCATTGGAATCTACTCTCTACTGCTCATGCTGTTCCTGTCTTTTGGGGAAGATGGAGGATCAATCAGTGTGTGCAGCACTGAGTGGAAGGAAGGAGAACTGTGACAAAAGTTAAGGAAGGATGAGAGATGGGAGGGCCCTTCATCCAGCTGCTTGCAGAGTCCTCCTGAGGAGGAAAGCCCCGTGGCTCCCTGGTGAAGGAGCAGTGAGGGCTACGTGACTCCCACAGTGAAGTTTGCGGTATATCTGAGGACACCCAGGCTGGTCCATGAGGAGCCAGTGGCAGAGTGAGAAGCAGAAAGGCCAGGAGGGTGGCTGGATGCCAGGCTCTGAGTCATTCTCCATGTGATGGAAACAGCCGGAGCCCAGTGGGCTTGGAGGTACAGGATGCGGTGGCTGATGACAGAACAATGTGGAGAGAGGCATCATTTGTCAAATCCTTACTTTGTTCTGGGCATTGTGCTAAAAATTCTGATGGCTCATCCCATTTAGGGGCTGAAAGTTGCAGAGGTTTAGGAAGCTCACCCACGATACTGGAGCCCCCATCTCCTACCCTAGTGCTGTCCACCTTCTCACCCAGCCACCACTTGTTTCAGGGGAACACACAGAAGTGGTAACCTCTTATGGATAGGCAAGTAAATTCTGCTGTTTTTGTTATTCACAGAAAAACACTGGCTCGTGTGAGTTGGGAAGGTGAAATACCAGAAGTATTTCATCTAGTTATTTCTACCTACACGACTCCTATAGTATTGAAATGCATAGGTTAGCATTTTTGGACAATTTACTCAGCATTCTGGGTTAAAGGCTTTTATTTATTTACTTATTTATTTTTTATTTATTTTTGAGATGGAGTTTCGCTCTTGTTGCCCAAGCTGGAGTGCAATGGTGCAATCCTGGTTCACTGCAACCTCCGCCTCCGAGGTTCAAACTATTCTCCTGTCTCAGCCTCCCAAGTAGCTGAGATTATAGGCACGTGCCACCACACTGGGCTAATTTTTTTTGTATTTTTAGTAGAAATGAGATTTCACCATGTTGGTCAGGCTGGTTTCGAACTCCTGACCTCAGGTGATCTGCCCTCCTCGGCCTCCCAAAGTGTTGGGATTACAGGTGTCAGCCACCACGCCCACCCTAAAGTCTTTTAAAATTCACTTGTATAAGTTGACTCAGTTTTCTTTAACCTTGTAGAAAAATACAAAAATGGCAAACTCTTTTATCACACAAATAATGTCTTTTAATGGAGTGATTTTTTTCTAATCGAGGTATTATGTACTTTTCATTTACTAATTATTGTTTACATTTGAAGTGTTTTATGAATTAATATTTAATTGCATAGATGAAGATTACTAGTTATAGGCATTTTACTAACCAATACTCATTAAGCATAGCGTGGATTCATATGACATCAAGGGGCTATTTTATTTGGTAAAACGAAAAAGCACAAGAATGAACGAACGCGAGAACTGAAACAGTGGAGACACCTAGAATGACTTGTCTAAGATCTAAATCATTTTGTTCTCTTCCCAGCGTACTTATTATCCTGATCATTGTCATCAGCATTGTTTGGGTCCTTTTAGCACAGATTTCTCAAAAGGGGTAACTCCATAACAGTTGGAAGCTTACAAATTCATATAATTTGTAAGAGGTCAATTTGGAAGTACCTATCTATTTTAAAATTCCAGTAACCTGGGAATTTCATCCCATGTCTAGAGTCTTTTAGGTAAAATATTTCCACAATTAGGAGAAATATGTGCATGGGGATTTTTTATGTAGCGGTGTTTTGATAGAATAGAAAATTGGGATAAACCAAATTTCCATCATGAAGGAAATAGTAATAGGCTGAATAATAACACAGCGAATATTATGCAGGCTTTAAACATCAAAAAAGAGTTCAACTTATGACTTCCGATGATGGTGTTGAAGCAGGGCACTGCTGGTTAACATTTGATTTTCTCGTTAGCGATGCCGTGGACGGCATCCTCGTTAGCGATGCCGTGGAGGGCGTCCTCGTTAGCGAAGCCGTGGGCGGCGACCTCGTTAGCGATGCCGTGGGCGGCGTCCTCGTTAGCGACGCCGTGGGCGGCGTCCCAGTTAGCGACGCCGTGGACGGCGTCCTCGTTAGCGACGCCCTGGACGGCGTCATCGTTAGCGACGCCCTGGACGGCGTCCTCGTTAGTGACGCCCTGGACGGTGACCTCTTTAGGGATACCATGGACGGTGTCCTCGTTAGCGATGCCCTGGGCGGCGTCCTCGTTAGCGATGCCCTGGGCAGCGTCCTAGTTAGCGATGCCCTGGGCGGCGTCCTAGTTAGTGATGCCCTGGGCGGCGTCCTCGTTAGTGATGCCATGGACGGGGTCCTCGTCAGCGATGAGCTGGACTGCGTCCTCGTCAGCGATGCCCTGGATGGTGTCCTCGTCAGCGATGCCGTGGACGACGTCCCCGTCAGGGATGCCCTGGGCGGCGTCCCCGTCAGCGATGCCCTTGACGGCGTCCCGATCAGCGATGCCCTTGACGGCGTCCCCGTCAGCGAGGCCCTGGACGGCGACCCAGTCAGCGAGGCCCTGGACGGCGTCCCCGTCGGCGAGGCCCTGGACGGAGTCCCAGTTGGCGATGCCCTGGGCGGTGTCCTCGTTATCGATACCGTGGACTCCATCTTCATTAGCGATGCCCTGGACGGCGTCGTCGTTGGCGATGCCCAGGACGGCGTCCTCGTTAGCGATGCCCTGGACGGCGTCGTCGTTGGCGAAGCCCTGGGCGGTGTCCTCGGCGATGCCCTGGGTGGCGTCATTGGCGATGCCCTGGGCGGCGACCCTGTTGGCGATGCCCTGGGCGGCCTCCTCGTTGGCGATGCCCTGGGCGGCATCCTCGTTGGCGATGCCCTGTGCGACGTCCTCAGCGATTCCCTGGGCGGCGTCCTCGTTGGCGATGCCCTGGGCGGCCTCCTTGTTGGCGATGCCCTGGGCGGCGTCCTCGTTGGCGATGCCCTGTGCGACATCCTCGGCGATTCCCTGGGCGGCGTCCTCGTTGGCGATGCCCTGGGCGGCCACCTCGTTAGCGATGCCCTGGACGGCGTCCTCGTTAGCGATGCCGTGGATGGTGACCTCGTTGCCCATGCCCTTGGTGGCGTCCCCGTTGGCGATGCCCTGGGCGGCGTCCCCGTTGGCGAAGCTGAGGACGGCGTCCCCGTTGGCGAAGCCGTGGACGGCGTCCCAGTTGGCGATGCCCTGGGTGGCGTCCTCATTGGCGATGCCCTGTGCGGCGACCCCATTGGCGATGCCCTGGGCAACCTCCTCGTTGGCGATGCCCTGGATGGCGTCCTCGGCGATGCCCTGGGCGGCTTCCTCGTTGGCGATGCCCTGGGTGGTGTCCTCATTAGCGATGCCCTGGTCGGCGTCCTCATTAGCGATGCCCTGGGCAGCGTCCTCAGCAATGCCGTAGACTCCATCTTTGTTAGCGATGCCCTGAACGGTGTCATCTTTAGCGATGCCCTGGATGGCATCCTCGTTGGCGATGCCCTGGGCGGCGTCCGCGTTAGTGACGCTGTGGACGGCCTCCTCATTAGCGATGCCCTGGGTGGCGTCCTTGTTAGCGATGCCCTGGATGGCGACACCGTCAGCGATGCCGTGGAGGACGTCCCCATCAGCGATGCCCTGGGCGGCATTCCCGTCAGCGATGCCCTTGACGGCGTCCCCGCTAGCGAAGTCGTGGACGGCATCCCCGTCAGCAAAGCCATGGACGGCGTCCCTGTCGGCGATGCCCTGGACGGCGTCCCAGTTGGCGATGCCCTGGACGGCGTGCCAGGTGGCGATGCCCTGGACGGCGTGCCAGGTGGCGATGCCCTGGACGGCGTCCTCGGCGATGCACTGGACGGCGTCCTCATTATCGATGCCGTGGAATCCATCTTCGTTAGCGATGTCCTGGACGGCGTCCCAGTTGGCAATGCCCTGGACGGCGTCCCAGTTGGTGATGCCCTGGATGGCGTCCTCGGCGATGCCCTGGACGGCGTCCTCGTTATCAATGCCATGGACTCCATCTTCGTTAGCGACGCCCTGGACGGCGTCCTCGTTAGGGATGCCGTGGATGGCCTCCTCGTTAGCGATGCCCTGGGCGGCGTCCTCATTAGTGATGCCCTGGGCGGCGTCCTTGTTAGCAAAGCCCTGGGTGGCATCCTCGTTAGTGATGCCATGGACATGGTCCTCGTCAGCGATGCCCTGGACGGCGTCCTCATCAGCGATGCCCTGGACGGCGTCGTCAGCGATGCCCTGGACGGAGTCCTCATCAGCGATGCCCTGGACGGCGTCGTCAGCGATGCCCTGGACGGCGACACCATCAGCGATGCCGTGGACGGCATCCCCGTCAGCGATGCCCTGGGCGGAGTCCCCGTCAGCGATGCCCTTGACGGCGTCCCCGTCAGCGAAGCCATGGACGGCGTGCCTGTCAGCGAATCCGTGGACGGCGTCCCTGTCAGCGAGGCCCTGGACGGCGTCCCAGTCAGTGAATCCCTGGACGGCGTCCCCGTCGGCGATGCCCTGGGCGGCGTCCCCGTCGGCGATGCCCTGGGCGGCGTCCCCGTCGGCGATGCCCTGGGCGGCGTCCCCGTCGGCGATGCCCTGGGCGGCGTCTCCGTCGGCGATGCCCTGGGCGGCGTCCTTGTTATCGATGCTGTGGAATCCATCTTCGTTAGCAATGCACTGGACGGCATCCCAGTTGGCGATGTCCTGGACGGCATCCCAGTTGGCGATGCACTGGGCGGCATCCTCGTTAGCAATACCGTGGATGGCGTCCTCGTTAGCGATGCCCTGGACGGCGTCGTTAGCGATGCCCTGGACGGCGTCCTCGTTAGCGATGCCCTGGACGGCGTCCTCGTTAGCGCTGCCCTGGACGGCGACCCCATCGCCAAGGCCGTGGACGGCGACCCCGTCGGCGAGGCCGTGGACGGCGTCCACGTCGGCGAGGCCCTGGATGGTGTCCTCGTTATCGATGCCGTGGACTCCATCTTCGTTAGCGATGCCCTGGACGGCGTCCTCGTTAGCGATGCTCTGGACGGCGACCTCAGGGATGCCGTGGACGGCCTCCTCGTTAGCGATGCCCTGGACGGCACCCCGTTGGCGATGCTGTGGAAGGCGACCCTGTTGGCGAAGCCGTGGATGGCGACCCTGTTGGCGAAGCCGTGGACTGTGTCCCAGTCGGCGATGCCCTGGACGGCGTCCCCGTCGGCGATGCCCTGGGCGGCGTCCCCGTCGGCGATGCCCTGGGTGGCGTCCTCGTTGGCGATGCCGTGGAATCCATCTTCGTTATTGATGTCCTGGACAGCATCCCAGTTGGCGATGCCCTGGGCGGCTTCCTCGTCAGCGATGCCGTGGACGGCGTCCCCGTCGGCGATGCCCTGGGCGGCGTCCCAGTCGGCGATGCCGTGGACGACAACCCCGTCAGCGATGCCGTGGACGGCGACCCCGTCGGCGATGCCCTGGACGGCGTCCCCGTCGGCGATGCCGTGGAAGGCTTCCCTGTTGGCGATGCCCTGGAAGGCGTCCTCGTTATCGATGCCCTGGGCGGCGTCCTCGATATCGATGCCGTGGAATCCATCTTCGTTAGCGATGTCCTGGACAGCATCCCAGTTGGCGATGCCCTGGGCAGCATCCTCATTAGCGATGCCGTGGACGGCGTCATCGAGAGCGATGCCCTGGACGGCGTCCCCGTCGGCGATGCCGTGGAAGGCTACCCCGTCGGCGAAGCTGTGGACGGTGTCCCAGTTGGCGATGCCCTGGACGACGTCCCAGTTGGCGATGCCCTGGACGGCGTCCTCGTTATCGATGCCGTGGAATCCATCTTCGTTAGCGATGTCCTGGACAGCATCCCAGTTGGCGATGCCCTGGGCGGCGTCCTTATTAGCAATGCCGTGGACGGCATCATCGAGAGCGATGCCCTGGGCGGCGACCCCGTCGGCGATGCCCTGGGCGGCGTCCCAGTCGGCGATGCCCTGGACAGCGTCCTCGTTATCGATGCCGTGGAATCCATCTTCGTTAGCGATGCAGTGGACGGCATCCCAGTTGGCGATGTCCTGGACGGCATCCCAGTTGGCGATGCCCTGGGCGGTGTCCTCGTTAGTGATGCCGTGGACGGCGTCATCGTTAGCGATGCCCTGGGTGGCGTCCTCGTTAGCGATGCCCTGGACGGCATCGTTAGCGCTGCCCTGGACGGCAGCCCTGGACGGCAACCCCGTCGGCAACGCCGTGGACGGCGTCATCGAGAGTGACGCCCTGGACGGCGTCGTCGTTAGCGACGCCCTGGATGGCGACCTCGTTAGGGATGCCGTGGATGGCCTCCTCATTAGCGATGCCCTGGGCAGCGTCCTTGTTCGCGAAGCCCTGGGTGGCATCCTCTTTAGTGATGCCATGGACGGGGTCCTCATCAGCAATGAGCTGGACTGCATCCTCGTCAGCGATGCCCTGGACGGCGACACCATCAGCGATGCCATGGACGTCGTCCCCTTCAGCGATGCCCTGGGTGGCGTCCCCGTCAGCGATGCCCTTGACGGCGTCCCCATCAGCGAAGCCGTGGACGGCGTCCCTGTCAGCGAGGCCCTGGATGGCGTCCCAGTCAGCGATGCCGTGGACGGCGTCCTCGTCGGCGATGCCCTGGACGGCGTCCTCGTCGGCGGTGCCATGGACGGCGTCCTCGTCGGTGGTGTCGTGGACGGCGTCCTCGTTCGTGATGTCGTGGATGGTGTCCCCATGGGGAGCTTGAAGAACACAGAATAAAGGTCAGTGCCCTGGTGGTGGAGACTGTGAATCACCCAGGGGCTTGCTTGGTGTGGTGCATGGAGGTGGCTTATCACAGCATGGGCCAAGCTGATGCTGGGACATACTCCCAGGTGGACCTGCACTAGTGAAGCTAAGGGATGTGGCTCAGAACACTTTCTACAGTGGGAATCAGTTTCCAGGTTCAGATATGCATTATCCAGTGAAGTGGGGAAATATAAAAAAATAGAAATTGACAAATTCATGAAAAGCCTTCCATGAGTGCAAGTGTGATTTTTTTTGTTAACCACTTTACTTTCAGTATGCATTCACACATACAATTTTTACAAGAAATCAGAAATTTTAATTTTTGTCAGTTATGTTAAATCTAACTTAGCTGCCAACATAAAGATTCTATCTCATTTACTTGGTCTCGAGAAAATCTAGCACATAGTAAGTAGACCAAAATGTTTATTAAATGAAAACACAGAGCAGAGAGAGGGGGGCTGCTAGGCAGACTGGGTTGCACCTGATTACCTGGATGATAATAAACTGCACAAAACCTCGGTCAAATTAATATTGAAACTGCCTTTTGCTTGGGCTCGTTTCCCTTGCGGAAGAAGGATGACCAAGAAGATGAACAGGAAAGAAATGAGAAACCGAGGCCTTTGCTTAGTAGCTAAAGGCTACCTTCTGTAACATGAAATAGTCTACAAGTGGCCTTGAACTCTGCCGTGATTCAGTGACAGAGTTCCCTCATGTCTTCTACCCAGGTTGAAGTCCAGCAAAATTGCGACTGTCCTCTTTACAACTTGCGAGACCACATTGCTTCTGCATTTGCCTGTTGTATGAGATTTACACTTGTTTTAAAGCAACATTTTGTTTCAGTTGGGCTGGTGGCCATACCCGGCACTAGCCAGTCAATAGTGAGATGGCTCCTCATGGAGGAGGCTTGGCTTGAGGCTGAGGGTCTTTAACCCACATATACAAGAGAGTTGCCACTAAGGGATGGAAGCCAGGCTAATAACCAAGTGCCACACAGAGTTCCTATCTGTCCCTCCTCACCATTTTTGGCTGGCAGGTTTTGAGCATTTTAGGGCTTGGGAAGATAGTATTACTAAATCTACTAAAATACATCACCCATCCTTACAGGCTTTGGCCAGCTGCTGAGCAAATTAACTTCACAACTGAAGTGGGCCACACTGGCATTTGTGGTCCCCCACTCCTCTTAGAATTTGTGAGCGTGGGGCCCACTGGAGGGTGGGAGGTGGGAGGAGGGGGAGGATCAGGAAAAATAGCTGATATTAGGCTCAATGTATGGGTGATGCAATAATCTGTACAACAAACTCTCATGACACACATTTCTATATGTAGCAAACCTGCACATCCTGCACATGTACCCCTGAACTTAAAAGTTAAAAAAAAAAGATCTGTGAGCTGAGCAAAACACCTGGGGATCTTTGTGCTTTTGACACACTGATGACTATGCCTGTCCGTGGGGAGATGAGCCTATAACTGCCCTGGGTTGTGTGACCACAGAGGCCACTTTATGATGATGGGCAGTGTCTGGGGCCTTTTGGGCTCGGTGCTTTAGGGCTTATAGATGAATGCTGAACTCCCTGTGTGGTGGTGAACACTCCATGACTAAGTGCATGTCAGTGTCAGCACTGGCCCACACTCCTGGGTTCGTGTTTTCACTTTTTCATTCAGGAACTCAGGAGCTGGGGCCACTCCCTTGGCCCTTCAGGTTCTCCACCTGAGTAGTCGGGATAATAAGGCAGACCCGGGGATGGCTCTGGTGAGGGTAGAGGAGTCACTGTACAGAGAGAGTAGAGCGGGGGTGGATTTTATTGTTAGAAGTGGACACTGGTGATTGGGTTGTATAAGTGGGAAATCTCTCCTGAGAAAACACACAGCCTCACCTGTACAGAAACACACACATTCACACCACACGATGCAGCCTCAAACAAGACACCACCAATCCTCAAGCACCCAACTCAGCACCACCCAAAAGGGAGCACAGCTGCTTCCTCAAAATTTGGCCATAATTTTTCCCTGGGGAATTCAGGTTTTAAAAAAACACTTCCCCTATACTTATTCCTATCACAATCCCAGGATCAGGGTGGCTCTTCACATTGAAACCAGGCAAGGATGCCACACCTTTCTTGGCATCCAGATTGTTTTCTTGGCAAGTGATTCCAGAATACTTACTAGATTCACGCCTCAGAGGGGCCACCTGCACCACCTGCAATACAGAAACAAAACTTTTTGAGGGGTATGTCATGTTGTGGATTGTTTGCACAAGGCTCTGTTTCTCTCAATGAATACTGAAAACTTGATCAGAAAGTGTAGTCAACTTCAAGGCCTCCAAGACAAGGGTAGGATACACACTGGAAAAGACATCAGCTTCTGGATGGTGTATCTCTCAGGTCCACGTAGGTTGGCAAGTGCAAAATACTGAATCCAAGGAGAAGACATTGCTTCCAAGGACAAGGATCCCAAGGATACAGTCTACAACCTGAAGCCGTCATAGCTAAATGCCATTTTGGATTACATATCAGTTGCTAAGAGTCACTTCTTCCTCCCCCTCAGAAAACTGCATTTAATACCTGTCATGGACATTGTCATTTTTTCACATGTAAAGTCAGTTGAAAAAGAAAGACACCAAGAAAGGAACATTTCTATTTCAGAGAAAGCAAGGCAACCTTACCCTCACGTTGACTGGCCTCTCTCCATCTCCTCTGTCCTTGTGAACTAGAGACTCCTCAGAGGCTAGGAGGACACACAGCAACAGTTAGTCATAGATGCTTTTGTTCATGAGTTATTCAGGGAGCTCTGCTTAATGTGGACAACAGGACAGTGTGTGTGGATGTGTTTCATTAAAAGCACAGCTTGAGCTCCTGCTAGAAAATCTTCCCTCGTGGAAAGACAAGCAAGAACGAGGAGCTAAGGAGCAAGAAATAGAGTCCCTGGCATTTTGCTGATGGCAACTTAAGGCAATGGGAATGAGTCAGTCTACAAATGGTACTGAAGCACATGCTATAGTTTGATGAGAGTCCCACTGCTCACACTGTGAGGTTTGAAACCCAGCTAAATGGTTTTCTAAACCCTGTAAAAACAATATTAGCTTGCAGGATTTATGTCCCAAGACTAATTTTGCCTCTGAGGATCCACAGTGGCTGTCACTGTAGTTATTATGTGTTTTAGCATTTTGCACTTGAATAAAAGCAAAGTTTAATAGACAGATTGGATTCAATTCTAGGCAAAACAGTCTATGGTATTTATTCACTAATCCTTTGTTATAACTGCTGATGGGAGAATTAGAAGTACTGAAATTATATCCTTTAAAATTAATTAAAGCATAATTATTAATCACACAATATTTTTTCATCCCGGCCTCCTTTTCTTTGTCATGCATGCATATTAATTGAGGATGGAGAATATCTACGCTTGTTCAGGCCAGCCAACATACGACAGTTTACTTCAAGAGAGGAGACATGGGTTGAATGCTGGTATGTTTTAATTCTGCAGCACAAACAGTTGCAACAAGTGTGGTGAACTAATCACCAGATGGCCCTTTGCTGCCTTATTTGTCATTGTGCCTTACATGTAGCTTGCAGGATTTGATTACGCTTATGTTTTGTGGTGATCATACTTTCAACTATTCCTAAGATACTGCTTCAGTCTTATCTGTTTGGGGTCAACTGCTGAGGATTTCTTACAAATTAATGAAGTTTGTGAATCTAAAGTTCTACACAAAGGGGGAAATATTTGCAAATCATTTATCTTGTAAGAGACTAAAATTTAGAATATATTTTAAATATATTTAAGATATATTCAAAAATCTACAACAACAAACTAACTAAATAAAAATCAGACAACTCTTTAAAAATGGGCAAAAGACTTCAACATATATTTCCCTAAAGAAGATATAGCCACAGATAGTAGCACAGGAAAAGCTGCTCAGGATCATTAGTCATTAGGGAAATGCAAATGAAAAACACAAGCAGACACCAATATACACCTACTAGGATGATTTAAAGGAAAATAAGTGTGAACAAGGATGTAAAGAAATTGTAACCCTGATACATTGATGGTAGAAATGGATAAAGTTGCAGCCACTGTGAGAAACAGTCTGCAGTGGCTCAGAAGGTTAAATGTAGAACTCCCGTTAGACCCAGGAACTCTACTCTTAGGCACCCCAAACAATAGAGAACAGAAATCAAACAGATGCTTGTATACTAATGTTTATAGCATCACTTTTCACAGGAGGCAAAAGGTGGAAATAATCCAACCATCAGTGAACAAATGAATGTAATAAAAGCAAGGTGGTCTACATGCAATGCTACATCATCCATCTGTAAAAAACGAACATAATTTTGGTAGATGATACAACATGGGTGGACATTGAGAACATTATGCTTAGTGAAATAAGCCAGACACAAAAGGAATATATTGTATAATTGTACTTACATGAAGTGCCTAGAATAGTCAAATTCATACAAGAGAAAGTGGATAGGAATCACCATGGGCTGGAAATAGGGGGAAGGCGCTATATTGCTTATTGTGGACAAGGTTTTGTAAGAAATCATCAAAATTGTGGGTGTAGATAGTGGTGTTGGTTATGCAACCCTGTGAATATATTGAATGCCACGGAGTGCACACTTTGGTTAAAAGGTTCAAATGATAAATATTGTGTTATATATATTTCTCCAAGATAGCAAACATGCACAGCCAAGCCCAGATGCCAGTCTTGTTAGCTGCCTTCCTTTACCTTCAAGAGTGGGCTGAAGCTTGTCCAATCTTTCAAGGTTGCTGAAGATTGTATGATGGAAGTCATCTGCATTGGGAAAGAAATTAATGGAGAGAGGAGAAAACTTGAGAATCCACACTACTCACCCTGCAGGGCCAAGAACTCTGTCTCCCATGCATTGCTGACCCGTCTCAGTATTTCCTGTGACCACCTCCTTTTTCAACTGAAGACTTTGCACCTGAAGGGGTTCCCAGGTTTTTCACTTCGGCCCTTGTCAGGACTGATCCTCTCAACTACTGACCATTTCACCTCCATTCATGTCCATGCCACATCAGGCTGTGTTGTCTAGATGGAATGAATCCACCCCAAATGTCCCTTTCTGGAGGAAGCCACCATTATGCTGTGCCTCCAACACGTCCACACACACCAAGTCACCTCGCTCATGCAAGGTGTGTGTCCTCTAACAAAGTTTCACGCTCTAAACCCAGATAACTTTTGAAACCCAAGTTCTGTTGATTCCCCTACTTTGGGTGCTCCATAGTTGCTCATTTGTCTACTAAACACTGCCCCAGGCAATTAAATATTCCAAAGTGACCAGCAGAATTTTTATGTTAATTCTGACATTGCGTTGTTAGTACAAGTGTTTTTCCCCCTTCAAATTTATGTCTTTGTTACTGATAAATGTAACTGATAATGCTTTTTTCAGCTATGTTGCCAAGCATATTTATATAAAAATATACTCAGATTGTTTTCAGAATTTGACAAAGATGATAGCAACAATGATAATCTCATTTGTTTTATACTAATCTTTATGTGTTACTTTCATCATTTCTTACATATTGGGGCCTACCATACATTGTACAGTGAAATTAGTACTATGCATCATGGTAGGAATATAAATTGGCAAAAGTAATTTAGAAAATAGTTCTCGTTTCTTAAAAAAATTAGGCTGGGTGTGGTGGCTCATGCCTATAATCCCAGCACTTTGAGAGGCAGAGGTGGGCGGATCACCTGAGGCTAGGAGTTTGAGACTAGCCTGACCAACACAGCAAAATCCTGTCTCTACTGAAAATACAAAAATTATCCATGCGTGGTGGTGTGTGCCAGTTGTCCCAGCTACTCGGGAGGTTGAGGCATGAGAATTGCTTAAACCTGGGAGGTGGAGGTTCCAGTGAGCTGAGATTGTGCCACTGCACTCCAGCCTGGGTCTCAGAAAAAAAAAAAATTTTTTTTGACCAAAATGTCATTATGCATTACATGACTGTATATGAATGCTCAAAGCTACATTACTCATCAAAGAAAAAAACAAAATAATTAAATGTCCATTAACTGATAAATGAATAAACACTATCTGTATGAATAAACACAGCAGACTATGAAGGAAAACACATGACCAGCACGTGCTAACACGTCAATTAACTTCAAACATAGTATGCTAAATGAAGGAAGTCAGATTCCAAATATATATATATGTCCATTTCTATAAAGCAAGTGGGAAATTTATGGAGATGGAATGTCACAGCAGTATTGCTTAGGGCTGGAGATGGGAGTGGGGATTAACTGCCAGTGCACAAGAGAGAACTTGGGTGAGGGAAACATATTTAAATTAGATCGTGGTGTTGGGTGCACACAGTATCAATTTAATAAAGCATCAAATTGCAGACCTTTTCAGTGGGCAAACTTTATGGTGGGTTCACACCCAATATAGGTGTTAAAAATAAATTAATGTTATGGAAATTCTTGTCGGGTTTTTAACAAGCCAAGAGATATGCTGTGAAAGCAGCATTAATTCAAATGGTTGTCACAGGTCACTTAATCAGATAGTTGTCCTACAAATATAGGGTGAATGTTATTCACGAATTTCCTGAATCTATTGCAATAATCACATTTTTTTCCATTAAACTCTTGAGGTAGCTAATTTTATTTATTGCATTTTCAATGTTAATCTACTATTTCATATTTTGAGATTAACTCACATTAGTCAGAATTTACAGTATTTTAAAATATCACAGAATTTAATTTACCTTATCTGGTTTTGGTTTCAAGACTATACTAGCCATTTCATTTAATTGTACATGTAGGGTATTCTAATTTATGGAAAACTATTACATCTTCCTTGATTTTTTTTTTTTTTTAGAAATTACTTCTAGGGATCTATATGGTAGAGTCCATGGAGAATTGTTTTAATTCTACATTCATGTCTTCAGTGGGTATACGATTGGTCATATTGGTCATAGTTTTCTGCTCGGATTTCAATAAGAAACTTGTGGAAGAACCTGAAGGGTGGGATCTTTGAGGGAGCCTAAGACGGAGCAAGACAAGCTAAGAAGGAGGGCAGTGCCACAGCAGAACTGTTATTGATGCCCCCTCACCTAGATTGCAGAAGAGACATCCAGCTGTAGACACTGAGGTGCAGGAAAACAATGGAGCACCATCAGAGAAAGCAGTGCCCAGGAACAAGGAGGCACTGATGGTGGCAAGGGGCAAAGACAGCTACCACGAGGCTGTTCACATGAGGGTCTCAGGCTGCATAGACACCCACACCAGCTGAGGGGTCCTGGTTTTCATAAAGTGTGTGGCTCAGCCAGGCCACCAACAAGAAGTTCACAAACAGTAGTAATACGACACTTTCCAAAGACCTTACTTGAGTAACATGGTGATCCTCACAAATTTCCAATCAGGATGGTCGCACGGTTCCTCCTGCTTTAGGACTCAGAGCCTGCCCATGGTCACAGTGGGTAGGTGCAGACTCTGAAGATGCCCTTTGGTCAGAGACCCCGCTGAACTCTGTCTAATGAGGACCTCTGTCCTGTCTGCTGACCACCGGTCAGAGGTGCAGGCTGCACTGGGGAGTAAGAATGCCACCTTCTCAATGTTGGGAAAACTCCCTGCCAGAACTGAGAATGGCCCTTTCTAAGCAGAAGACAAGCTCAGACTAAAGAAGGAGGCCGACCACATCAGGTTGGCAGATTGCCAAAGATTCACTCAGGGAGAGCCCACATCCTGGGCCATCTTGGGTGGTGGCAAGATGAGGTAGATGACTGCTTTTGCAACACATACCTGACAACAAAAAATCAACAACTGTAAAAGAGCCACAAAATCCCCAAATATTTGCAAATTAGCAATGCAGTTTTAAATAACTCATGGGTTAAAGAAGAAGTCTCAATAGAAAATTAAAAATACTTTTAACTACATTAAAAGAAAATGTGACTTGGCAAGATTTCTGGATGTAGCAAAAGCAGTCCTTAGAGGGAAATCTATAGCATTGGATGTAATATACTAAAAATCACAAGATCTAAAATCAGTAATATCATGTTTCAATTAGGGAACTGTAGAAAATAGAGGAATGCAATGGAAAGCAAGTAAAAGTAATAAACAACATCACAGAAATCAATAAAATTAAAACACTGAAATCATCAGAAAATCAATAAAACCAAAAGCTGGTTCTTTGATATGCTCATTACAATGAATGAATTGATATGCAGGCTAACCAAGAAAAAGAAGATAACACAAATGACCAATTTCAGAAATAAAAGAGGAGCCATCTCTACTGAACTGTTAGGCATTAAAAGGAATATTATGAACAGTTCTATGACCGCAGTTTGATAACCTCAGTGAAATTTATCAATTCCTTGAAAGGCAATCTTCCCAAGGTCACGCTAGAATCCTAATGTGAATAAACTTATGTCTATTAAATAAGTTGAATTCACATTAAGAGCATTCCGAAAAAGAAAGCACCAGGCCCAGATGGTTTCTCTCATGAAATCTACCGAATTCTTCAACAGGCGAATAAAAAGACAAAAATTCATTTAATGCAATATTATTTGGTGATTTAATGTGCCATTTTTTGCCATTAAGGCATAAAAAAGACATGAAAGCAGCTAAAGCGTACATCAATTTAGTGCAATAAATTCATCTGAAAAAACTACATAATATATGATTCCAACTATACGACATTCTGGAAAAGGCAAAGTTGAAGCGATAGTAAAAATGTTAATAGTTGCCATGGTTTCTGGAGAAAGAGGACAGAGATTAATGAGAAGAGAGGATTTTTAGGGAAGTGAACATTTTCTTTATGAGACCATAAGGGTGAACATAATGTTTTAAATATTTCAAAATTCATATATATGTATAACAGAAAGAATGAACATTATGCAAATGTAGACTTTAGATAATAATGTATCAATATTTTCTCATTATTCTAGCAAATGTACCACAGTAATGTAAGATGTTACTAATAGGTGAAATTAGGAAGTGAGGATGAGGAGACAGAATAATATGGGAACTTCGTGTATTATATACTCAATTTTTATTTATTTATTTATTTATTTATTTATTTATTTATTTTGAGATGGAGTTTCACTCTTGTCACCCAGGCTGGAGTGCAATGGCATGATCTTGGCTCACTGCAACCTCTGCCTCCCGGGTTCAAGCGATTCTCCTGCCTCAGCCTCCTGAGTAGCTGGGATTACAGGCGCCTGCCACCATACCGGGCTAATTTTTTTGTATTTTTAGTAGAGATGGGGTTTCACCATGTTGGCCAGGCTGGTCTCCAACTCCTGACCTCAGATGATCCGCCTGCCTTGGCCTCCTAAAGTGCTGGGTTTATAAGCGTGAGCCACCACGCCTGGCCATATGCTCAGTTTTTATGTCAATTTAAAACTCTCTAAAGAAATATATTAATTGAAAAATAATAATATAGCACCACTCTTTCAGGGAGATCTATGCTTATGTTTAACAACCAGGTAAGTTCTAGACATTAGCTTGAAACATTGTCTATCATTAAACATGAACCACAATTGACTTTTAAGTAGATATTTACTTTTGTGGTTGTAGCAATATTTACTGACCAGGCAAATTAGAATCCTGACACATTAAAAAATATGGCTTAGTCTCTTCATAGTTTCCTCTTACATATGGGACACTGAATACTCCCCGCAATTGCAATTCTTGAAGCAACTTAATTAATGAACTTCCACAGTACCTTCTTGTGGGTACATCTTCTTCTTTACCGGGGAGCCATGAGGTCTCCGACACTGGTTGGTGTGCACAGCATATCTTCTTGTATTCTCTATCAGAGAAGATGCTGGTTAACGCATTTACAATAGATAGGGCTGTTGACATCTTGCTGACTGAAGACCAGAGGGAAAACAGTGATAATCTGTTCTAAGTTTAAACTTATGATGTTTTTCTTTACAGGCTTCCAAGCAGAGCCCACTGAATCAAAGTTGGGTTTCAGGAAGATCACGGAGTTCAGTGAGCACTCAACACCTCTATCAGACAGACTGTGTGGGCAGTGCCTTCCTGGAGAGGAGAACACAGCAGGATGACTGTGAGTGCAGGGCTGGTGCAGAGTGGGGGCCCGGATTCAAATTCCACTAAGCCATGTGGACCTAGAAATCTCATGTCCTCCCTCTGCCCTCAGTTCTCTGCACTGTCATAATGTAATTTTAGCAATACTTTTTAGGCCCTATTTAGGCCCTACTTCTTAGTATCACAGTACGGGGCTAAAAAATCACTAAATACAGGAAAACCTTAGAGAGGACTGGTACTTCAGTAATGTTCTCTAAGTGTTTACTACATGCCAGGAGGAATAAGCTGGACACTTAGCAGTGGTGGAATATGGAGGGGGAACTTGGATGGCTCCGGGGCAGTGGAGCATGCTTTCCTGTTCAGCTTTTCCGTGGGCATGATGCCTTATGGTTTATGGAGAACATCAGCCCTGCAGGGGGTGCAGAGGAGGGGCTGTGGCTGAGATTTTACACTTGAGGGTGCTGACATTCAGAGATGATAAGTGACGAGCAGAACCTCAACCCCGCTGAGTGAAGGACCTGAGATGGGAAATGTATTTGGTTCCCTAGAGAGAGAGTTTCCTGAAAAACTGCCACCTCTTCATCACGCCCTGTGCCAGAGACCCAAGAGGCCCTTCACTGTCTTTCCCCAGTCCTCCTAGCCCAAGGTGTGTGGGTGGACAAAGGTGATGCTCTGGAGGAAATGCCTGAGATAAGGACAGGTCCTTAATGATAAAGAATTCTCCTTCCTCTTTCAGATCCTTGACTTCCCCAGTATGACAGCTTAAAGGCTGTCATCTCTGTGGCCTGCCTCCCCTTTCCCTTCACCCTGCCAGCTGCCTCTCAGTGACTGTCTCCTCCAGTGACTACACTGAGGGACCAGGGACTGCTTGCCTCCCGAGGCTGCTCAGACCTTCTGACACTGCAAAATGATTGTCAAAAGATGGGTCTGCAAAGAGTAACTTCGCTTCCAATGATCAAACCTGAATATGCAAGCTACTGTGAATTAACTGGAAAAGTGGCCATGTGGGCTGGTGCTTTGGTGATTTAATGAATTAAGTCTGCAACCCCCACTGCCTCCTTGACTATTGATCAGAGCTACCTGCAATAAGGTCTGGCTAAGAATGGGCAGTGGTTGCACCAGCTCTGGGTAAAATTTGACCTAAAATGACCAGTCTCATTCACTAACCTCAACATAGTCTTATGGGTTCAATGGACCTGTCCAATCCTTTGCTCTGTTCTCTCCATCACCTTCCTGTGTAATTTTCCTCCACCACACACATAATAGAAACATGGCACAGGGTAGCTAATCACCTCTTTTATCCCCCACTTCAGGCTCACACATAAGTTTATAGTAAAAGCCTTTTCAAATGACTGCTTTAACTGCTGCTACAGCATGTGTCATCAGTTGAATGGAATCTGTCATGTGACTTTAAGCAACCCTTTGTTGAGAGACAAGATTCAATACTAGGGACAGTATTCTAGTGTACTACATCATTGATTTTATGTTATGAAGATCATCATTTATTGAAAATGTATAAACAAAGCGCAGCCTTACTCTTTAATGCTGTGTGTGTAAATCCACTGAGTGTGCTGACCCCCACGCTTGTACCCACCTGCTAACACAGAAAGGGTCCACTCAGAAGGGAGGCACAGCTCCAGCACTGAGGCTGTCCACACCAGCTTCACAAGAGGGTTGCCACAAGGACGACAGATACCCGGATAACAACCAAATGGTAATTTGAGTACTTAATGGTCATGATCCCTAATGTGTGTAGCTCAGAGGGCTTGTGGTGATAACTCCATCAAGACTCTAAAGCGTCTCCCCAATTCTTACTGGACTTGATCCATGTCTTGAGGAGACCCAGCTATGACACGCAGGCACCACGTTGTCCTACTTAGTGCCTCCCTTAGTGTTTCAGAACCTGTGATTTGATCAGAAACATGGGCTTTCTATGTTGGTTTCACACAAAGGACTATGTGACACCTGCAGGAAGGTGTCTACATAGCTACCTGGATTATGAGATCATGAGGCTCTCTTATGTGAGGGGTGGCGTTTGGGATCTCTGCAGGCGTGGGTAATTCCAGGCATAGAGGGTGCTGGAACTCCCTTGCATGGTGAATAGTGATCTCTTCACTGGCTGATAAATAGAGGTTGTAGTTCAGGCCTTCAACATTAGCACCATATGAGTAAACATTTTGACTCTTCACTATGCAGCAAGTGAACCAGGGCACATTTATTTATGTGGCTTAGTTTCTCCATCTGGCATGTGGGCTCAATAAACAAGCTCACAACATATGGGCATGATGATGATGAGGTGTGAACTAATGTAAGTAAAGTATGTGGTCTGACTTGTTAAATTAAGAAAAATGGCACTGAGAGTTGTGCTGGGTAAACACAACATTTTTTTCCTAGGGAAAACACACATAGACACACATTCACAAGCAAATCATGCAGACTTGCACACAGACCACCTCACCCCACCCCCGCCCTAATACACACATAACCACACACAACCTAATGTGAACACGTTCCCAGAAACTATAAATAGATAAAAAGAGTATGTCACCTGGAAAACCAGTTTCTTTTACTATACCCCACATCCTCATTCCCACAAGATATCTTGGATCATGGAGGCTCTCCAGACAAAAGCCAGCAGTTAAGCTCCAGATTTCCTGTAGAATCCTTTTCTAACAACCAGTGAGTGATTCCAGAATACGTACCATTGAATGTGCTCCCTGAAGTCACCTGTAATTAGAGAAGGAAAACACTCTGAGAATCAGGCTATGCTATGGATGGCTCACACAGGTCTTTTGTTCACTTGGAAACTCTGGGTAACCAAGATTGGAAATAAGGTTCAAGTCAAAAGCCCCAACTCTAGAGTAGAGTTCCCTTAGGAAAGCACAGGAGCTTTTCTTGAAGAATGTTTCTGTCTAGGTAATTTTTGAGTAGCAATTGAAGAATTCTTATCTAAAGTGGAAAGCTTGTTCCTGAAGAAAACATCCCTTAACACGCAGTGTATTATCTGACACTGCCAATTTTGCACGTCCTCTGGAATCAGGTGTCAGTTGGTAAAATACACCTCCTCCATCCCCAAGGAAATATTATCTAACATCTATAATGTAGTGGATAATTTTCCCATAGCTGATATCAACCGAAAAATAAAGGATCCAAGAAAACAACATTTACATCTTAGGCAAAGACAGGCTGCTTTACCTTGGTAGTAGAGTAGGGCTCCCTTTTCACACGCTTTTTGGAAGAATTCTTCGAGTCACCTAGGGGATGTGGAGGGACACAGCATGGCTGTCAGTTCATTGGCAGTGCTACTCATGAATGACTCAGGGACTGGAACTTAGGGGTGTGCCTGGTTAACAAGCATGGAATGAGCTTCTCCTGGACCATCTTCTTCACGGACCAAGGAAGGCAAAGAAACAGGAGCAAGGAAATGAGAGTAGAGCCCTTGGCTTTCCAGGTAATGGCAAATGAAAGCAACGTGAAATAATCAAACTCCAAATGAACAAATGCTAAAATACATGCTAGGATTCAACCACAGCATCCTGTCACTTCTTCAGACCCTTTAAAAGCCCAGCAAGACTGCCACTACCTTCTTGACATCTACCAAGTCCCTTTCAACCTCCACAGACCCACATACACTGCTACTGCATTTATCATGGAGGGTATAGGGTTCTGCCTTGTTTATGTGTGAATTTTTTAAAAACTAGATTTAATACCATGCACCAGCATTAATTGTACTTATTTCTTTTCTTGGTTATGAAAATAGTCAGGCATAGTGGCTCACACCTGTAATCCCAGCAGTTTGGAAGGTGGAGGTGGGCGGATCATTTGAGGTCAGGAGTTCGAGACCAGCCTGACCAACATGGTAAAACCCCATCTCAACTAAAAAAAAAAAAAAAAAAAAAAAAAAAAAAACCCAGCTACTCAGGAGGCTGAGGCAGGAGAATCCCTTGAACCTGGAGGCAGAGATTGCAGTGAGCTGAGATTGCACCACTGCACTCCAGCCTGGGTGACAGAGACTTCATCTCAAAAAAATAAAAAATAAAAAATCAGGCCAGGTGTGGTGGCTCACGCCTGTAATCCCAGCACTTTGGGAGGCTGAGGTGGGTGGATCATGAGGACAGAAGATTGAGACCATCCTGGCTAACAGAATGAAACCCCATCTCTACTAAAAACACAAAAACTTTGCCAGGCGTGGTGGCACGTGCCTGTAGTCCCAGCTACTTGGGAGGCTGAGGCAGGAGAATCGCTTGAACACAGGAGGCAGAGGTTGCAGTGAGCTGAGATCATGCCACTGCACTCCAGCCTGGGCAAGACTCTGTCTCAAAAAAAAAAAAACCTCCCCTAAAAATAATAATTAAAGATTAGAAAATACTGAAATACTTATATTTTAAAATAACCACTATAACCATACATTTTCCGTTCAGTCTTCCTTTGCCCTGTGTTTGCAGTCATCGTGTGAGGGGCTGCCCATGTTCAGCCCAGGCAACCCACAGCGAGAGAGGGCAGAGCAGGGAGATGGGCCCTGGTGAGCACTGAGGCTCTTGAAACCAGCTGCCAAGGGAGTTGCAAGCAGGGTGACACATGAGGCTCATTATTTAGTGGTATTTTGTGTTCTTGTCTTGTCCCCAGGTTGTGTAGCTCACAGACTTTTTTTTTTTTTAACATTTCTATAGGGGTCATTTGAAGTTCATAACACCATCAAACATCAGTACAGGGTCTTCCCATTATTTACCGGCTTTGGGATATGTGCTGAGGAGTGGCCGCGCACTGAAGGAATGTGACCGGTTGTCCCAAGTGTTCCTCCAACTCAAAATCCGCAACCAGTTCAAAAGCATTTGGGCTTTTATGAGCCTTTCACATAAAGACTATGACACCGCTAAGCTATTCATGTACTAATACCTGCCCTGAGCTGTGTGACCACAGACACCACCCTATAATGTGGCCAGTGTGTAGGAACTCTACAGGCTCAGATCATTCCAGACATACATGCAGATGTTGGGACTCCCTTGCACAGTGACTCATGATCCCAAGGCTGAGTGCTGAGGGCAGGTCAGTAGTTCAGAGCCTCAGCATTGGGGCTGTATGCTTGGGTTCCCATCTTGGCTCTTTTGCTGAGGGGCTAATAAGCTTGGGCACATTCATCTCTGTCTTTTTCTGCCCAGTAAAAGGTGATAGTAAATCAATCATGCCATTTGTCTGTGGTGATGGCCGAATGATTTGATGTAGGTAAAGTGTACAGTATAAGTGCTCATGAGGCTTAATTATCAGGGAAATGTCTTGCTTTAGATTTCACAGCTTAATAAGGCTCAGAGGCTTATTCACGCCCAGGATTCTGAACTCCCAAGTCATTGTTCTATGACATGCACCTGCTTGGCCTAAAACCAACCACTTTATCATAATGCAGACCCAGTTTTGAAAGAAGCAGATAAAGTTGTCAAAAGTACTGTGTCTGCCTCAGCGCACACACAGTGCGCTCCACACAAAGGGCATCACCATCTGCCACAATGGCCCAGTGGCCTGGCTGGTGCAGACAGTGGCAGAGCAAAGGGCAAGAGATCCCTAATCCCATCACCATGGTCGATAGGGCATCATAGACATTCCAGGGTGAAGGCACAATCCACGTTGTGAGGTCCAACTGCTGCCATGTAGACAGGTGTGTTTTTACATGTACAGGAAGATCATTGAAGATAAGTGTTTTTTATCCATGGTTAACAGATGAGATGACCATGAAATGAACACCAGTGTACTGGGTGGAGCAGCTTATCTATTCAGTCTTCTGCACTAAAACCTGTGAAACAATATCATCTTGCCTTATTTACTAACAAATACAAGTGCCTCTAAACTTAGACAGTTGCCAAGTCATGGAACTGATGAGCACTTAGCTCCTGCAGAGAGCTCTGGATGATGGGTCGGGAGAACAAAGTCACACAATACATCAAAACAGCATTAACAAGTAAACAGGATTTCAAAGCTCTCTACAGGCAAATTTACACAATTATCCTTTTAATTTTAATCTTCATATATATGTACATAATCTACTTGCTTCTGAGTATAAATAAAACTGTATGTTCTTAGTTAATAGTCTCTACCAATTAATTCTATTTATCTTTCTGAGTTGAAATACTGCATCTCATTGGATAACAAAAAAAAATTTGACTAAGATTACACTGGAAAGGTGAGTAGGTTGGGTGATTGACTGTGATTGACAATTCCATGATTTTGGATAACTCCAAAAGCATAAAAATAAATGTGAGTTTTATTTCACACGCAGACAATACACGTTCTTATTACTTTAAAAAATTAATATGTGAATGGAAATGACTTACTACAAATTTATTAAAGTAAATACACATTTCACAAAAAAAGAAGAGAGGAAGGGAAAAACATGTTAAAAACAAAGATAGGTACATTTTATGGTGTGAAAAGCCTCCAACCCATCCATACTACTGTGGCTTTGTTCCAAAGTTTTGGAAAGTAATGATTTCATAGGTTCTTAATTAGGTTAAAAACTGAATTAAAATAGACTTTGCCATATTCTCCCCTAGGGAATAATTAATCTGTGGGGTGGGGGATGGAACGTTGAAGGATGCAGGATGTAAAAGGAAATTATACATATATTATAAATATAATTATATATGTATAATATATATTATACAATATATATAATATATAAATAATATATTATATATATTATATATCTATATTATATATTATATAATTATATATACAATTATATATATAAAATACATATATATATATAATTTGGGAATTTGGGAATAAACTGAATCCCAATTCACACTGGGATTACAAAAGCTGCCACCATGCCTGGCTAATTATTTCTATTTTTAGTAGAGACAGGGTTTCAGTGTATTGGCCAGGATGGTCTTGATCTCCTCACCTTGTGATCCTCTTGCCATGGCCTCCCAAAGAGCTGGGATTACAGGCCTGAGAAAAGATACACATTTTTTAAATGAAGAAAAATTTCAAAGGTACTCTGCTTGGTACAATAATCAAATATACAAATTGAGGAATAAAACATAACCATGAAACATATTTATAACTGCATATGGAAAATACAGAGGATAAATTTTTAAATAAAATATTTTGAAAGACGTAACTAGTAATTTGAAAAGATCGCATTTGACAGGCCAGTATGAACATACCTTGAATGCAGTAACACAGGTTCCCCATAAGAAAAATAAAAATCAGGGAAAATGAAACTACAAGGTTCAATCTGCTCTGACCTTTGAAAAACTCAGCACAGACAGTGGCACTTAGGACCAAGGGCAGGAGATCCCTAATCCCATCACCATGGTGATAGGGCATAAACATTCCAGGGTGAAGGCACAATCCACATTGTGAGGTCCAACTGCTGCCATGCAGACAGGTGTGCTTTTACATGTACAGGAAGGTCATTGAAGGCTCAGTGTTTTGTTTCAAATATATATTATATATTATATATGAAATATATATGCTATATATTATATATAATATATATGATATATATATTAATTATATATTATATAATTATATATAATATAGAATATATATTATATATATTACATATATAATATATATAACATATTATATATAAAATATATATAACATATTATATATAATACTATATATTATATATGTCATATAATATAAAATATATGTCATCTTATATATTATATATATAATATAAAATATATGTCATCTTATATATTATATATATAATATTATATATAATATATATCATTTCCTTTTACATCCTGCATCCTCATGTTATATAGAATATAATAATACATAATATGTAATTATATATATCAGTATAATATATATAAATATATACATAATGTAATTACATATATATAATTATATATAATATAATATATAAAATATATTATAATATAATATATTATGTAATATATAATGTAAATAATCTATATTATATATGACATATAATATATATTATATGAAACTATATATGATATATATTATATAATATACATTATATATTACATATATAATATATAATATATATTATATGTAAATTATATATATCATGACATATATTATATATAATCTATATTTTATATATAATATATTATATGATATATAATATATATTATATGATATATAATATATATTATATGATATATAATATATAATATATTATATGATATATGATATATAATATATTATATGATATATGATATATAATATATTATATGATATATGATATATAATATATTATATGATATATGATATATAATATATTATATGATATATGATATATAATATATTATATGATATATGATATATAATATATTATATGATATATGATATATAATATATTATATGATATATGATATATAATATATTATATAACAATATATAAAATATTATATAACAATATATGAAAAATATTATGTATATATAATAAATATTATATACATATTTTTTTTGCAGACAGAGTCTTGTTCTGTGGCACAGGCTGGAGTGCAATGGCGCCATCTTGGCTCACTGCAAACTCTGCCTCACGGGTTCAAGTGATAGTCCTGCCTCAGCCTCCCAGGTAGCTGGGACTTCACCACACTGGGACTACACCAGCTGCCAACATGTCTGGCTAATTTTTTGTATTTTTAGTAGAGACAGGGTTTCACTGTATTGGCCAGGATGGTCTTGATCTCCTCACCTTGTGATCCTCTTGCCTTGGCCTCCCAAAATGCTGGGATTACAGGCCTTAGCCAAGATACATATTTTTTAAATGAAGAAAAATTTCAAAGGTGCTCTGCTTGGTACAATAACCAAATATATAAATTGAGGAATAAAACATGACCATGAAACATATTTATAATTGCATATGGAAAATACAGAGGATAATTTTTTAAATAACATATTTTGAAAGCATTAACTAGTAATTTGAAATGATCACATTTGACAGGCCAGTATGAACATGTCTTGAATGCAGCAACACAGGTTCCCCATAAGAAAAATAAAAATCAAGGAAAATGAAACCACAAAGGTTCAATTTGCTCTGACATTTGAAAAACTCAGCACAGACAGTGGCACTTAGGACCAAGGGCAGGAGATCCCTAATCCCATCACCTTGGCGATAGGGCATAAACATTCCAGGGTGAAGGCACAATACACATTGTGAGGTCCAACTGCTACCAGGCAGACAGGAGTGCTTTTACATGTACAGGAAGGTCATTGAAGGCTCAGTGTTTTGTTTCAAAAACTGAATCCGAAGCCCACACATTATTATGCTGTGCTAGTTAAAATAAGTTATGAGATGGGAAATAGGGCAACCCCATATATATATAAAATTACATACAATATAATATATATAACATATATAACACATATATAATTTCCTTTTACATCCTGAATGCTTATATTATATATAATATATTATATATAATAAATAATAATATATAATTATATGTAATATATATAATGATATAGATATAATTATTATAAATAATATATAAAATTATATATGTAATTATATAATTATATATAATTGTATATAATTATATATATTATTTACGATATATAATATATAATATATAATATATAGTATGACATAATATATATTACATATATTATATTATGACATATAATATATATTACATATATATGACATATAATATATATTACATATATTATGACATATTATATATATTATATATTACATATATATATAATTTTGTTTTAGAGTCTTGTTCTGTTGCACAGGCTGGAGTGCAATGGCGCCATCTTGGCTCAATGCAACCTCTGCCTCACGGGTTCAAGCGATAGTCCTGCCTCAGCCTCCCAGGTAGCTGGGACTACACCACACTGGGAGTACACCAGCTGCCACCATGACTGGCTAATTTTTTGTATTTTTAGTAGAGACAGGGTTTCACTGTATTGGCCAGGATGGTCTTGATCTTCTCACCTTGTGATCCTCTTGCCTTGGCCTCCCAAAGTGCTGGGATTACAGGCCTTAGCCAAGATACATATTTTTTAAATGAAGAAAAATTTCAAAGGTACTCTGCTTGGTACAATAATCAAACATATAAATTGAGGAATAAAACATAGCCATGAAACATATTTATAACTGCATATGGAAAATACAGAGGATAATTTTTTAAATAACATATTTTGAAAGCATTAACTAGTAATTTGAAGAGTTCGCATTTGACAGGCCAGTATGAACATACCTTGAATGCAGCAACACAGGTTCCCCATAAGAAAAATCAAAATCAGGGAAAATGAAACCACAAAGGTTCAATCTGCTCTGACCTTTGAAAAACTCATCACAGACAGTGGCACTTAGGACCAAGGGCAGGAGATCCCTAATCCCATCACCATGGCGATAGGGCATAAACATTCCAGGGTGAAGGCACAATCCACATTGTGAGGTCCAACTGCTGCCATGCAGACAGGTGTGCTTTTACATGTACAGGAAGGTCATTGAAGGCTCAGTGTTTTGTTTCAAAAACTGAATGCCAAGCCCACACATTATTTTGCTGTGGTTCTTAAAATAAGTTATGAGATGGGAAATAGGGCACCCCCAAATATAGCCAATAGTGAGAGTTTCAAATTGAAGAGTGGCACAACTGATACGTTGAGAATAAACAGAGATTCCATTCTGTTTTTTCTTTTTCAACTTTTATGTTAGATTCAGGGTGTACACGTGCAGGTTTTTTCCTGGGTGTATTGTGTGGTGCTGAGGTTTGGGGTGTGAATGATCCCAACCCCCAGGTACTGAACATGGTACTCAGCAGTTTTTCAACCTTTTCCTTCCTCCCTCCCCCTCCTAGCAGTCCCTAGTGTCTATTGTCACCATCTTCATATCCATGGGTACTCAGAATTTAGCTCCTACTTATAGGAACATGAGGCGTTTGTTTTCTTTTACTGCATTAGTTCACTTCCTGGATTCCAGCTCTATCCATTTTCCCTCATAGAACATAATTTTATTCTTTTTTGTGGCTGCATAGTATTCAATGGTCTGTATGTACCACATTTTTATCCAGTCCACTGTTGATGGGCACCTAGGTTGATCCCATGTCTTTGCTAATGTGAATAATGTTGCAATAAACATACAAGTGCATATGTCTTTTTGGTGGAATGATTTGTTTTCTTTTGGATACATATTCGGTAATGAGACTGCTGGGTTGAATGTTAGTTCTGTTTTATGATCTTTGAGAAATCTCCAAATTGCTTTCCACAGTGGCTGAACTAACTTACATTCCCACCAAAGGTGTATAAGCATTCCCTTTTCTCCTTATCCTTGCCAGTATCTGCTATTTTTTTTTTTTGACTTTTTAAAAATAGCCATTCTGACTGGTGTGAGATAATATCTCATTGTGGTTTTGATTTGCATTTCTCTCATGATTAGTGATGATGAGCATTTTTTTCATGGTTGTTGGCTGCATGTATGTCTCCTTCTGAGAAGTGTCTATGTCTTTTGCCCCTTTTTAAATGGGGTTGTGTTTTGCTTGTTGAATTATGTTCCTTATAGATTCTAAATATTAGACCTTTGTTGGATGCATAGTTTGTGAATAATTTCCCCCATTCTGTAGGTTGTTTACTCTGCTGATGGTTTCCTTTGCTGTGTGGCAGCTCTTTAGTTTAATTAGGTCCCATTTGTCAACTTTTGCTTTTGTTGCAATTTCTTTTGAAGACTTAGTCATGAATTATTTCCCATAGCCCATATCCAGAATGGTACTTTTGAAGTTTTTCTTCTTGGATTATTGTAGTTTGAGGTCTTAAATTTAAATCTTTAATCCAACCTGAGTTAATTTTTGTATATGGTGAAAAGGTGACCAGTTTTTTGTTTTTTTGTTTTTGTTTTTTGTTTGTTTGTTTGTTTTTTGAGAGGTAGTCTTCCTCTGTCACCAGGCTGTAGTGGAGTGGTGCCATCTCAGCTCACAGCAACCTCCACCTGCCGGGTTCAAGCGATTCTCCTGCCTCAGCTTCCTGAGTCCCTGGGATTACAGGCACGTGCCACCACACCCAGCTAATTTTTGTATTTTTAGTAGAGACAGGGTTTCACCATGTTGGTCAGGCTGGACTCGATCTTCTGACCTTGTGATCCTCCCACCTTGGCCTCCCAAAGTGCTGGGATCACAGTCATGAGCCACTGTGCCTGGCCAATAAGGTGCATTATTAACATCAATAAAGCTCAGGAACCAGCTTCCACCATATTTGTGTTTAATTTACAGTTTTTCTCAGAGTCTTTGGAATAGATTCCTCCCTCCATGAGCCAGAGAACTTACAATGTTCACTGCAGTGTCTTTAAATGTAGCAGTAGCAGCTGTGGGTTGAGAACACAAGTCTTCCACTTTTCCTTTTAGAGCCAGCCATTCACGGTGCTCTGTGTTCTTATTCAGCATTGGGTAGGGGCATCTGGGTGCTGGGCATAGCACCAGTGCCCCATGGAGGAGGGAGGCAGGAAGCCCCTTTCTTCCTTCTCTAAAACCTTTTTTCTTTATGTAGTTCCAAGTTTTTAGCCTATATCATTTTCTTCTCTCTGGATAACTTCTTTTAACATTTTGACAGATCTACTGACAGCAAATTTGTGTTTCTCTGAGAAAGTCTTTTTCTTCACTTTGGAAAGATAATTTTGCAGAATACAGAATTTTAGGTTGGTGGAATTTTCTTGCTTGCTTGCATGGGTTCTGAAGAAAAGTTTGATGCAATTTTTATTCTTATTCTAACATGTGTTAGGCCCTGCTAAAGCCCAAGGTGGTTAGACTCTTGTGAAATAGTTTCCCTGGGGCAGGCTTTTGCTAAGGAGAACGGAACACCCAGGGCGTATTTCAAAGTAGTTACTTTTCCCCTTCCCTGTGGGAAGCAGGAGGGAATTTTTCTCTGATGTGCATAAGAGCATCTGGCAGAGCTCTCGGAGGTTCATGAAAGTGTAGGGCCCCCTAAGACTGGGCTCCCTTAATTCTTAATTCCCAAGTTTATGTGCATGGAGCCTCCAGCGATTTGTTGTTTACATGTAAGTCTTCCCACCGTGGTTCTGGCTTCAGTGGCCAGCCTCCGATCCTGTTAGGCTGGGACTCACTGCCTCTCAAATTTGGGGGATAACGGTTTGCCCTGTTAACCTCAAGTCTCTGATGGATCTAAGAAAAGTTGTTAATTTTCAGTTTGTTCAAGGTGTTTTTTGTTGTTGTTGTGAGGACAGGAGTGACAGCTTCCAAGCTGGAAAACAGAAGTCACATTTGGGTTTTGTTTCAAGATATTTTTCCAATGACAGAGAATGATGCCACACACATTTCCATAGATGTCTTTTGATGCAGATGTGCATGCGTTTCTGTTATCCTAAGAGTGAAATACCTGAGTCCTAAATGTGCTCCTTTCTAGAACCTTTATTCAATGCCAAACACAGTGTCCCCTCCAGCAGTGATGAGAGTTCTTGTTGCTCCAGATTCTCTCCAACATTTGGTGTTCTATCTTTTACATTTTAGCCGTTTTGGAGGATATGTTATCCTGTTGTGATGTTAATTTGCATTTACATGAATATTAAGAAAGCTGAACACATTCAAGTTTTGCTTTTATAAATTACATGTTTAAGTGTTTTACCCATTGTTCTTTCTCTTAGTGATTTTTAAGAGCTCTTTACATATTGTTGATGTGAGCCCTCTGTCAGTTCTATGTGTTCATAGATCTGTTTCCACTCTGCAACTTGTCTTGTCACTTTCTTAGTGGTGTCTCTTAATAAACAGAAATTCTTAATTTGAATATAGTCTAATTTATCAATTTATTCCCTTAAAACTATGGCTTTTTGTGATCTGTTTAAGAAATCTGTCCCCATTCATGGTCATAAAAATCGGCTGGGCATGGTGGCTCACACCTGTAATCCCAGCACTTTGGGAGGTCAAGGTGGGCAGATCACCTGAGATCAGGAGTTTGAGACCAGCTGGCCAACATGGTGAAACCCTGTCTCTACTAAAAATACAAACATTAGCCAGGTGTGGTGGCAGGTGCCTGTAATCCCAGCTACTCGGGAGGCTGAGGCAGGAGAATCACTTGAGCCCAGGAGGTCAAGGCCGCAATGAGCAGTCATTGTACCACTGCATTCCAGCCTGGGTGACAGAGCAGGATGCTCTTTCAAAAATAAACATAAAAGTAAATCTAATGAGCTCTAGGATTTCTAATTTGAAGATAGAAGCAATAAACAAAATGAGAAACCAAAATACATTCGTTTTGATTAAAGCAGAAGTCAGCCATAACTCTGAACCTAAAAAGGAGGTCACCTGAAGCAGCTGTGAGTAAGCAGGGTAAGAAAGGAAGCGGAGAACCGATGCTCATTGCCAGATCTTAGGGAAAAAATAATAAATTAGGATGACATACTTTTGCAAAATTAAAGAAATCCCCTGAGTTGCTAATACAAAATTTCATTTGTGAAAGTCTAATAAAGAAATTCAGCTAGTAGTGGGATCTGTCATGGACTGAGTTTGATTCCAAGAACAGAAGAGGCAGGACCAGTGAGAAATAGCACAGACATATTTGCAAAAGCAGCCCTCCCACGTTAGGAAGAAGGGATACTTTTGCACAGTGAACAGCACTACAACTGCTCATCTCTTTCATGTACTATCACACATGGAATGACTGAGATAATCCTGTGTTTCACACATAGTCCTCCCTGCCCCTACTGAATAGAGAAACCCAATTTCACCTTGGCTATCTCTAGATCAATTACCTGTTAATAGGTCTGCTGTTTTCTTTACCGTTAGTTTCAAGAAGAACTAAATATCCCCAAATGGTATTTCAGCTTCCACTTAATGAAACCTGTCATCTAAAGCCAGACCCTGGCCTCAGCACAAGCTCCAGTGCAGACCCCAGCACCCACTCTGCCTGGTCCTGCTCTTCCAGGGCCCTTCCCTGGTGGCCGTGTGGTCAGGCTGCACCCAGTCCTTTTGGCCTCCACTGTGGACAGCTATGAGAGACGCAACAAGGGTGCTGCCCGAGTTATCGGGACCCTGTTGGGAACTGTCAACAAACACTCTGTGGAGGTCACCAATTGCTTTTCAGTGTCATACAATGAGTCAGATGAAGTGGTTGTTGACATGGAATTTGCTAAGAACATGTATGAACTGCATAAAAAAGTTTCTCCAAATGAGCTCATCTTGGGGTGGTACGCTGCCGGCCATGACATCACAGAGCACTCTGTGCTGATCCATGAGTACTACAGCCGAGAGGCCCCCAACCCCATCCACCTCACTGTGGACACAAGTCTCCAGAACGGCCATATGAGCATCAAAGCCTATGTCAGCACTTTAATGGGTGTCCCTGGGAGGACCGTGGGAGTGTTCACACCTTTGACAGTGAAATATGCATACTATGACACTGAATGCATCAGAGTTGACCTGATCATGAAGACCTGCTTTAGCCCCAACAGAGTGGTTGGACTCTCAAGTGACCTGCAGCAAGTAGGAGGGGCATCAGCTCACATCCAGGATGCCCTGAGCATAGTGTTGCAATATGCAGAGGATATACTATCTGCAAAGGTGTCAGCTGACAATACAATCAGGAAGGTGGGCCACTTCCTGATGAGCCTGGTTAACCAAGTACCGAAAATAGTTCCCGATGACTTTGAGACCATGCTCCACAGCAACATCAATGACCTGTTGATGGTGGCCTACCTGGCCAACCTCACACAGTCACAGATTGCCCTCAATGAAAAACGTGTAAACCTGTGAAGCCACCCCAAGCAGTACGCTTGCTGGTCTAAGTCTTAACCCCAGGACTCAGAAGTGAAGGAAAAATGGGTTTTTTGTGGTCTTGAGTCACACTGAGACAGTCAACTGTGTGTGACTCTAATAAACGTAGCCTACCTTTTGTAAATTAAAGAAAAAAAAAAGAAGTTAGTTTCCTCCCTGGGGAATCAATATCTCTAAATGAGGAGAACCCAAAGTTTCACAAAAGGGAAGAAAAAGTCTGCAAGTGCAAATTAGGCATAATAGTGCAGGGAGCCCCCTCCCCTTGACTTTCAGATTCATGTGTTTTTGTTGTAAGATAAATAACACTACATGGTGGTCACTGACTCTAAGTTTATACCACACACTGTAGGACAACATCCCAACCTCACTATGTGTTGTTTACCAGCTGGGAGCATTAACTGAGTTACATGATTCCATTCCATCATGTCAGATTCTTCTAGGTGATGGGGATTATGTTGTAAATCCAATGAATTGCACAAACATGAGCCTAATACCATATTTTTTTTTTTTGCAGTGAAATGAATTCCTTAGTCAAAAACAATTTTGTATGGGATATCATGATGGTGAATAACAAATTAAAGTTCACGCATGGTAGTACCAGCAGAACAACTGCGAATGTAAAGGGTGAGTTCGTACCCAGAATAAGTGTCTATTTCAGTGAGAACAAAATCCCTGAGGGATGGGTTTCAATGTCGTCAATCTGCAAGTTGACTGGGTAGCCCCTGAGGGAAGGCTGTCATATTAGCCTTAGTTGTTCTACATTGGTCCAGATACAATTTGATTATGTAAAGTCGTGAATACCTTCTATCCTTAATATTATGTGCATCTGTCCATGAGCCCATTGAACAAGTATCAGCTGACTAACATCTATTATATAACATGTCATTGTATGCATACGATTACTCCTCTTCAGTGGATTCCCTCTAATAAGAATTTACTTGGGCTACAAGTATTTTCATACTTCGTGTCTATTTTAAGAAGTCATCTTCGGCTGGGCTTGGTGGCTCACACCTGTAATCCCAGCACTTTGGAAGGCCAAGGTGGGCGGATCACGAGGTCAGGAGATCAAGAACATCGTGGCTAATACAGTGAAATCCAGTCTCGCCTAAAAAAATAAAAAATTAGCTGGGCCTGGTGGTGGGCACCTGTAGTCCCAGCTACTCAGGAGGCTGAGGCAGGAGAATGGCGTGAACCCAGAAGGTAGAGCTTGCGAGCTTGCAGTGAACTGAGATCGCGCCACTGCACTCCAGCCTGGGCGACAGAGTGAGACTCTGTCTTGAAAAAAAAAAAAATCCAACTATTCAAAAGTAAAGAAAAAAATATGTCAATCCACCATGTGTCCACTGCACACCATCACAAATTTTAAACCATGCATGAGCTCACATTTTGAATAGAAGGATCTTGGGGACGGGGACACTAAAAGCCCCAAATATGGTCCTGTGTGGCATAATGGTTTTTTGGTAAATGCTACACTGCATACAATGGTGGTCGCTTAAGATAACAGAGCTGAAAAATTCTTACCATCTAGTAACACTGTGGCCATGATGACATCATAGCACAACGCATTACTCATGTGTTTGCAGTGAGGCTGGTATAAGCAAACCCACTACATTTGTCAGTGGCATTAAAGGTTAGCACATCTAATTATGTACCATATGTCATACTTGGTAATGATAATAAATGATCATGTGACTAGTTTATGTACAGTTGCTCCTTGAACAGCATGGATTTGAAATGCACAAGTTCACTTATATGCAAATTTCCTTCTGCTTCTCCCACCCCTGAGACAACAGGATCAACTTCTCCTCTTCTCTTCCTCAGGCTGCTCAACATGAATATGCAGACGAAGACCTTTATGATGATCCACTTTCACTTAATGAATAGTAAACATATTTCCTCCTCCTTATGATTTTCTTAATAGAATTTTCTTTTCTCTTTCTTTAAGAATACAGTATATAATTAACAAAGTATGCATTAATTGTTTATTTGATCAGCAAAGCTTGCAGTTAAGAATAGGCTATTAGTAGTTAAGTTTGGGGATAGCCCAGAGTTATATATGGATTTTCAACTGCACAGGAGCTGGTCCCCTAACCCTTGCACTGTTCAAGGGTCAACAGTATTTACAATACTATACATTTTATTCATATTTTAGAGTGTAGTACTTCTACTCATGAAAAATAATTAACTATAAAACAGCGTCGGGAAGGTCTTTCAGGAGTTCTTCCAGAAGAAAGCCTTGTTATCATAGAAGATGACAGCTGCATATATGTTATTGCCCTTGAAGTCCCTGAAGACCTTTCACTGGGACAAGATTTGGAAATGGAAGACAGTGATATTGATTATCCTGACCCTTACAGGGCTAAGCTAGTGTGTGTGTTTGTATCTTAGTTTTTAACAAAAAAGTTTAAAACATAAAAAATAAAAATAAATAAAGCTTATCGAATAGGGATATAAAGTATTTCTGTACAGCTGTTCAATGTGTTTTTGTTTTAAGATGTGTTATAAGAATCAAAAAGTTAAAAAAATTAAAAGTTTATAAAGTTATGATAAGCTAAGATGAACTTGTTAAAGAAAGAAAAATTTTAAATACATTTAGTGTAGCCTAAGTGTACAGTGCATATAAAGTCTATAGTTATGTACAGTAATATCCTAGGCCTTTGCATTCACTCACCAAGTACTCACTGACTCATCAGAGCAACTGCCAGTCCTGCAACCTCTGTTCATGCTAGGTGTCCTATACTGGTGTACCACTCTCTTTAACTTTTGTAATATATATATATTTTTTTCTTTCTTTCTTTTTTTTTGAGAAGGAGTTTTATTTTGTTGCCCAGGCTGGAGTGCAATGGCACGATCTTGGCTCACTGCAACCTCTGCCTCTGGGGTTCAAGTGATTCTCCTGCCTCAGCCTAATGAGTAGCTGGGATTACAGGCCCATGCCAGCACACCCAGCTAATTTTGTATTTTTAGTACAGATGGCGTTTCTCCATGTTGGTCAGGCTGGTCTCGAACTTCTGACCTCAGGTGATCCGCCCGCCTCGGTCTCCCAATGTACTATGTTTTTACTGTATCTTTTCCATGTTTAGATATTACTATTGTGATATAACTGCCTACAGCAGTGGTCCCCAAAGTTTTGACACCAAGGACTGGTTTTGTGAAAGATAATTTTTCCATGGAGTGGGGATGGCTTTGGGCTGAAACTGTTCCACTTCAGATCATCAGATCATCAGGCATTAGATTCTATTTTTTCTTTTTTTTTTTTTTAGACTGAGTCTCCCACTGTCGCCAGGCTGGAGTGCAGTGGCACAATCTCGGCTCACTGCAACCTCTGCCTCCTGGGTTCAAGTGATTCTCCTGCCTCAGCCCCCCGAGTAGCTGGGACTACAGGCATGCGCCACCACACCCAGCTAATTTTTGTATTCTTAGTAGAGACGGGGTTTGCATGTTGGCCAGGAGTGTCTTGACCTTGTGATCCACCTGCCTCGGCCTCCCAGAGTGTTGGGATTACAGGCGTGAGCCACAGCACCCAGCCTAGTTAGATTCTTATAAGGAGCACACAACCTAGATCCCTTGTATGTGCAGTTCACAATAGGGTTTGCGCTCCTGTGAAGGTCTAATGCTGCTGCTGATCTGACAGGAGGTGGAGCTCAGGAAGTAATGCTCGGCTGGCCAGCCACTCATCTCCTGCTTTGTGCCCAGTTCCTAACAGGACACGAACCGGTGCTGGTCCATGGCTTGGGTGTTGGGGACTACTGGCCTACTGTATTCAGCACAGTGACGTGCTGCACAGGTGTGTAGCCCAGGAGCAATAGGCTGTACGATATAGCCTAGGTATGTAGTAGGCTACACTGTCTAGGTTTGTATAAACTACATTCTATGGTGTCCGCACAGCCACAAAATCACGTAATGATGCATTTCTTGGAATATATTACCATTAAATGAGATTTACCTGTATTAGTGTCATCTCAGGTTTATTGTCTAGTAATTTTAAAAGTATTTGTATATTCTTTCCCAGACACATCATCATACTCCGGTGCATATCTCTATTTTATTCCCTAGACCCATTCTTAATTTTTCTACGTTCTGCTTTGTTCCTTAGGAGGCTCACCTGAATTGGATACTGCAGAGATCTCCCTTACCCTCATGCTTTTATTGGGGTTCAGCTAATGGAGGGGGTGGCAGAAGACAGGTGAGAGAAGAGTGTGTTTATCCCCCACCTCTGCCCCTGCAGGGTCAGCACAGGCAGACTGTGTCCCTTTGCTGAAGATCACAGCTTCTGTCTGGTGCCTTCTTGGCAAGCTGGCACTCTCTCTAGTCAGGTGACTGCTTGGCCCCTTACTACTTACACTCTTCTGTCTGGTTTCTTTGTGTCTTTCCTGCTGTGCTGTAAGTAGTCCCTTTATTAGAATCCATCCACATTACCCAGTTATATAAAGACAAATAGTTGGTCACTGATCTAGTTCACTCCCTGAGAATCAGCCTTCATCAAAGATCCCTAACAGTCAGATATTCTGTTGGCCGCTCCATTCCTGCTCCCCATTATTCTAGTTGTGTCTTCCTTGTCTCTAGTGCAATCACAAAGCATAAGCGCCTCCACTGTCACTTGTTCTTTGCAACTCTAGGATCACATCATTCCCCTTGAAATCAGAGAACCCACAATCTCCCCAAGCCCACAAAATTCAGCCGTCACAGTACTTTTCAATCATGCCAGCAGCCCTCCCCAACAAACGAATCCTTAATTTCTTAGAGAAACATCTTCTGGGGCTTCCTGTGGGACACAGTGGGGGTCGGCTTGGCATGTGGATCACACCTGATATTTTTACCCCCACCTCCTACTATTCCTATTCCTTTGTATGCACCTCTCTTTATTATGCTAGGAAAGCTCTGGCAACACAACCTCAAAATAAGCAGGCCAGTGTGGATTCACAGTTTCTGTCAGACAAACTTGAGCACCCCTTCTAACTTCTTGGGCTAAGACTTTAACTTCAGAATCTCTATGTATCCATGTTGATAAACTTAGCCTATGTCAAGATTATATTCTGCATGCCTTAGTCAAACACCATGTAAATCTATGCCTCATATATTCTCTAGGCTTTAGCTGATAGGGATTAGCAAAGTAGTGTGGTTGTTTTGGTCTTTAAACAATGTCCATTTTCTACCAGCTTTCCATTGCACTCTTTTTTTTTTTTTTTGAGATGGAGTCTTGCTCTGTTGCCCAGGCTGGAGTGCAGTGGCGCAATCTCGGCTCACTGCAAGCTCTGCCTCCTAGGTTCACGCCATTCTCCTGCCTCGGCCTCCCGAGTAGCTGGGACTACAGGCGTGTGCCGCCACGCACGGCTAATTTTTTGTATTTTTAGTAGAGACGGGGTCTCACTGTGTTAGCCAGGATGGTCTCGATCTCCTGACCTCATGATCGGCCCGCCTTGGCCTCCCAAAGTACTGGGATTACAGGCGTGAGCCACCGCGCCGGGCCGACTCCATTGCACTCTTACAGACCATGTTGACAAAATTATAACTGCAACAGTCAACTACAATAGCAATTTTACCTCTCATATACCACTTGAAAAAGCACATCATTCCCAATAACCACATTTGATGATTTAAGTAATCACGATACCACCGTACACTACAGATGATCAGGTTTCTGTTTCCTCCTGACAAGAAGGTCAGGAATTCATTTCGACTAAAACAGGTCAGCAAACCCGTTCCAGATTCTCATCTGTAAAGATCTACTTCTAGAGGTGTCCACCTGGAGCCTGGTGAACATTGGACATCAAACACCAGGTTGACACTATTTCTTCATCTTCAACAAAAACCACACAAACAAGCTTTGGAGAAAGAACTCCCTCCTCTCAATAGATGGTGCTGGGATAAAATGGCTAGCCAGTTGCAGAAGAAAAACAGTGGGCCCCTGTGTCTCACCATGTACAGAAATTAACTCAAGATGAATGAAAGCTGTAAATGCAAGACCTCAAACTATTAAAAGCCTGCAACGGAACCTAGGAAATACACTTCCTGACAGAGGATTTGGCACAGCATGGATATGCCTAAGTCCCCAAAAGCAAGTGCAACTAAAACAATTATTGACAAGTGGGACCTAATATACAAAAGAGCTGCTGAACAGCAGAAGAAATTACCAACAGAGTAAACAGAAAGCCTACACAATGGGAGATAATGTCCCCATGTATGCATCTCATGAAGTCTGATATCCAGGATCTACCTCAAAAATGTTAAGCAAATAAATCAGCAAAACAAAAACTCAGTGAAGAAAGGGCAAAGGGCATGAAAACACACATCTCAAAGGAAGGTTTATAGCAACCAACGGACAGGACATTTCTCTACCTCAGTAATCATCAGAGAAATGCAAAGCAAAAGGCCCATGAGATAGTATTTCACACTGGTCAGAATGACAATTATGACACAGTCCACAAGAATGAATGCCAGCGAGGCAGAGGAGGAGAGGATGCTGGTCTGCTGTTGGTAGAAATGCAAACTAGTTCAGACACCATGGAAAACGATGTGGGGATTTCTCAAATAACTTTCTCGACATCACCAATCCCCACAAAAATGTCCACAAAAACCACACTAAGAGTCCATCTCATTCCACTCAGAATGAATACTACCAAAAACAAACAAAACACAAATTTTTAAAGGTGACAGCCAGTGTAGACTTACAGAAGAGAAACCTCTTAAATGCTATTGGTGGGGATGTAAATTAGTATACACACTATGAAAAACAGCTAGAGGTTCCTGAAAAAATTCACAGTACAACTACCATGTCAGCTAGAAGCCCCATCACTGGTTCCACAATTAAAGCACTTGAAATCCCTAGGTTGAAGAGAGTTACCTACCTTCCCATGGGTACTAAAGCACTCCTAACTGTGGCCAAGGTACAAAACCAACCTACCTGTCTGTACACAGCTTCAGGGATGAAGAAACTGCCATACAGATACACCACGGAATATGTTTCAGCCATAAAGCTTTGGGAAATCCTGCCATCTGCAGCCACATGAAGAAACCTGGAGAACATCAGGTCCAACAAATGAGCCTGGTAGAGAAAGTCCCATGCCATGTGATCTCAGACATGTAGACTGAAAAAAGCTTTATCTCCTAGAAGTAGAAAGTTCAATAGGGATTACCAGAGGCTGCTGGGGAGGTGGAGAGGGTCTGGAAAGGAATCAGTAATGGGTACAAAGTTACTCTTAGATGACAGTAATCAATTCTGGTCTTCTATTCTACAGCAGGGTGACTAGCCTTAATACAAATGTATCATATATTTCAAAGTAGCTAGAAGGAAAGATTCTGAATGTTGTTACCACTCAAAAAGTAGTAACTATGAGGTGAAGAGATGCTAAATAACCTGATTTTTTCATTACTCAACATATACATGTATCGAAATCTTTCTTGTACCCTCTGCTTATATACACTTAGTATATAGCAAATAGTGTTTTAAGAAATACAAAGAAACAATGCCAAAATTTATGTGGAAATATGAAACACCCTGAATTTCTAAAGCAATCCTGAGAAATACAAACCATATGGGCTGCATCACATTCCCTGGGTTCTAATTAAAGGAAAATCCCTAGTTAACCAACCCATATGTTACTGGCATACACAGAGAAACACAGACCAGTGAGCAAAATGAGGGCGCTCAATAATAAACACAAATTTACACAGAGTGAACACATTTTTCAAAACACCACCAAAACAACACAATGGGGAAGGTTTCCAAAACTAGATATCCATATGCAAAAGAATAATACAGGATTCTTGTGGTACTAAATAATACAGGACTCTTGTGGTACCAAAAAAAAAAAACACTTTAACTCAAAAGGATTAAAGATTATTCACAAAACTTGCAACCATAAAGCTCTTATAAACACAACCTCGAGTGTGTGTATATTTAGGGAAACTTGGATGTATGCTCCCGGTTTGCAAAAAGTGTGGTACTAAATAATACAAATAGTGTGTACTAAATAATAAAAAAATTTTTATTTTGTATTATTTTGTATTTATACTAAATAATACAAAATATATTTAGTGTACTAAATAATACAAAATATATTTAGTGTACTAAATAATACAAAATATATTTAGTGTACTAAATAATACAAAAAGTGTGGTACTAAATAATACAGAAATAATTCACAAAACTTGCAACCATAAAGCTCTTATAAACACAACCTCGAGTGTATGTATATTTAGGGAAACTTGGATGTATGCTCACGGTTTGCAAAAAGTAACAAAAATACAAGGGAAAAATCACTGACAATGGACTGCTTTGGCAGTGATTTTGTTTTTTCTTGATTAGTAAACAATAGCACACTAACCAAGAAATTACATGTGGGACCGCATCAAACTGAAGAATTTGTGCCCAAAAAAGGAAAGAAACAACGAACAAAATGAAAAGGCATACTAAAACTTATAAGAAAAGTTTGGGCAAACATACAGTGGATAACAGGTTACTTTTGAAAAGGCACAAGCCAGTAACACTAACGGCTGGCAAAAAAACAAAACAACAGAGAAATAACCAGACCAAAATTGGGCAAATAACCTGAGTAGATATTTGTGCAAAGAAGACAGAAAACAGATTCAACATTTATAAAAACGTGGTTAACATTACTACTCATGAGAAAAATGTAGATCAAAACCACTCTCAGATCTTATCTCACTCCAACTAGAATGAACATCACAAAAAGATTAAAATATTTAAAAATAAAATTCCTGGTATGAATTTCCAGAAAGGGGGACTGTTTGTGGAAATGTAAATTGGTATTAACACTATAAAAAACAGTTGGGGGTCCTGCAAACAATAGAAAAAAAAAAAGGAAATACCATACCATCTAGCAGTCCCACTACTGGCTATATATTCAACCTACCTGTTCACCCACAGATAAAGAGATCAAGAAACTCTCATATACATACACTGGGGAATATTCTTCGGCTATCAGAATAATCAAACAGTGTCATTTAGAGCAACCCAGATGAACCTGGAAAACATTATGATAAATGTGATGAGCTAGGCCTAGAAAGACAAACACTGCATGATACCACTCATGTGAAATCTTAAGATGTTTATCTTAAAGAAGTAGAAAGCACAATATTGGTTACCAGAGTCTGGGAGACAGAAGGGGAATGGAGAAGGATTGGTTATGGAAACAAAGTTATCTTAACATTAAAAGAATAAATCTGAGTGTTCTCCTCAGCCTGGTGACTGGACTTAACCGTATTACATTTTTCTAAAGAGCAAGGAGAATTTTGAATGTTCTCTTTACACAAAAATAATACCTGTATGAGGGAATAGAGATCCTAAGTACCCTGATTTGATCATTACCCAATTTATATGTATAAAAATGTACCCCTAATTATGGCCCTTTATGTTGTAAAAAAATTAACAGAAATAAATACATAGTGCTAAAAATCACAGGGAACCACAAAAGCAATGAATATCTAAAGGAATCCTGAGAAATACAATCAAAGTGAGAACCCACAATCCTTGATATCAAATTAAATTGCCAAGTTGTAGTTATGCAGTAGATATATGGTACTTGCATAAAAAGAAATACCTAGAACTATGGACAAAAACAGGGAGGACAAAAACAACACAAATATGGACACAGTCAACTGACTTTGATAAAGAACACCACAATGTGGAAGGCAGAGTCTGATCAATGAATAGCTTTGAGAAAAATGATATCCGGATGCAAAAGCGAGAAACAGGACCCTTATTTTACACGATGTATGAAAATCAACCGCCCCCCCCATCAACTGAAGGCCAAAACAAAATACCATAAACCACAAAATGTTTTTTAAAAAATTACTGTGTTTACTTAAGTAAAACACAGGTTGAGCATATATTTTGGGTCACTTGAATCTCTGTTAACCTTTGCAAAGAGGAAAAGAAACAAACACCCTGGAAGAAAAACCTCACTGACAATTAAATGCTTTGTTACTGATGCATATTTTCTAATATGGGTGACCATTATGACACGCATAAAACGCAAAAAAAAAAAAAATATGGGACTACATCAACGTGAAAAGTTTCTGCATGGCAAAGAAAACTACTTTCCAAATAAAAAAGCATCCCATAGATTATGCAAAAATTTCAGGCAATCATGTAATTCACGAGGAGTTGTCAACTAACGTGTACACAAAAAAGAGTACAAAGTAGAAAAAGAATCCAATCTAATATTTCGCAAATAACCTAAAGAGACAATTCTGCACAGATATAAAATCGAACAACAGATAAGAGATAAGGTCCTCGAAATTAACTATTCATTAGAATACTGTAATTCAAAACCACACGCAGATAGTCTCACACTTATTGAATATTCCTAGAAAAATTTTTTAAAAATAGGAGGGTCTGGGAGCCGTGGCTCACGTCTGTAATCCCAGCACTTTGGGAAGCCAAGGCGGGTGGATCACCTGAGGTCACGAGTTTCAGACCAGCCTGACAAATATCGTGAAACCCCGTCTCTACTAAACATAAAAATACAAAAATTAGCCGGGCGTGGTGGCGGGCGCCTGTAGTCCCAGCTACACAGGAGGCTGAGACAGGAGAATTGCTTGAAACCGGGAGGTGGAGGTTGCAGTGAGCCGAGATGGCGCCACTGCCCTCCAGCCTTGGAGACAGAGCGAGACTCCGTCTCGAAATAACAAAAACAAAAAAAATTGGAATGGGGGTTTGGTTTTGGAGAAACGGGAACTCATACACTGTAGGTGGAAATGAAAATTAGGGTACACACCATGGAAAACAGTTAAATAGCTGGAAACTCCTCAAAGAATTGAAACTACAGATGTCCCCTGCTCTAGCGAGGTCTCTTTCTAAAGGTCCTGAGGCATAAAAAATAACCCTAGACCCCAGCTCAGAGGCCCGTGGGGCTCGGAGGGACCCAGTCCAGCGCTTCACCGCCGGCTCTGGGCCAGGGCGCTCCTATAGGCTGGACGTGGGTCGGACCGGGGCATAGCCTTCCCGGCGGGGGTGTGGACGCTGCAGAGGCCAGGATCCCACAACCGCCCCAACGCTGACGACTCGGGCCCAGATGCCCACTTAGAAGTCAGGGCCCGAAAGCAGGGAGCGGCCGGGAAGGAGTAGGGAGACCCAGAGGGTTCCAGGTGGGGTTCATCCCCCTCCACTTACCGCCGAGGCCTGCCACCTCCTCCACCAACAAACGGAAGCCACCACATCTTCTCCGAGACTCGCTCTGACCACGCCGCCGATGCTGCCCGGGCCTCGCACGAAGCGCAGTCTCGGCTTCCCTCGGGGCCTGCATGCTGGCAGCGTCCCTGGCGCCAGGCTGAAGCACCACCCCCTCTTAAAGGGGCCGCGGCTGGGACTGGGCAGAAGCAGCTTCGGGTTGCACAGGCTGAGCGTCTGCCCAGCCCCAGGGGTGGAAGAAAGGCCCCCAGTCTGTCATCCTCCCGGGCTCTAGGGCCCTAGAGGTCGCAGAAGCCCCTCCTGTGACCCCAGCCCCTAAATCGGCTCCCTTTGCCTGAGGAGCGCCCGGGACCTGCCCCTGCCCTCCTCGGGACCTCAGCTTCACCATCCTCAAAGAAAGCGGCCTGGCTGGAGCTCTGGGGTCCCTCAAGCTCGGCGCCTCAGGATCCAGGGTGGGCTCCCCTGCCCCTCTGCAGAGGGGGCCCAATAGCCACGGAAAGCTGGGGGCTGGAGGGACAGTCCCGAGGGCAGCAGGGCGTCCTTGGCCTCACCGTCTACATTCGTCCTGTGGGAGCCCGGGGGCGTCGCTAGGGCCCAGACTCCTGCGGCCTCACCAGGGCTGCCTGGGTCACCGGGCTCCCCAGGAGGCAGGGAGGGACCCTGGGGTCCAGCGCTGCCCCCACCTCAACTCCATTCTGCGTCAGCATCCGCGAGGGGATCCTGTGGACTGGACCCAGACCCACTCCTTCCCGGGGAGCGGGACCCGCATCGGTCTCTGTGACACCCACGGGAGGGGCCGTGCTGACCTCTCCCGGGGATCTGGGGGCGAGGTGGGGGAATCTCGGCCACCTCTTGAAGCTCGCTGAGCCCCCCACCCCAGAGAGCGCTCAGGAGCAAAGGAAAGGACGGAGAGCCCACACATTTTCTATCTTTCATTTCCGTTTTTTCTTTTTTCCCCCCTCCAAAATGAAAGACGTGTGTAGCTTTGTCCCCTGTACACCATCCATTCCCCATGGCCGCTGTGCGGATCCAGCCCGCTGGTTGCCTCTAGGGTCCTGGGCGCCCGGCGGTCCGCATGCAGCCCGGGGCCTGCCCAGGTGAGGTCTGCGGCCGCCACAGCGCTGAGGTCCCGCCTGGCCGGGGCGCACGGGCCGCTGGGGATGCTGGCTGCGAGGCTCCGGGGAGGTGGAGCGGGAGGTTGTCCCAGGCCCTGGCTGCAGAGCTCTTGATGTCACGCCTGACACCCTCCATCCACCGCCTCGGGGCAGCGCTTCAGAGCCCCGGCAGAGGCAAGAAGTCGATCACTTTGTTCTTCATTCGTTGGAAAAATGGAAAAGCACATTATAATCCCTGGAACAACCACTTCAGAGAAAGAGCAAAAAATTAAAATAGGATTGTAAATGACACACTGAAATAAGTTGATTTTAAAAATGGTAGTCAATGGAAAAACAGGATCAGAAGACAGGAGAGACAGGGAAAACAAATAAGTTATCTGACTGAAACAGAATTAGAAACTAACAACAGTAAGAAATATTGGACATCTGAAAATATGTGAAAATTTAACAACCCACCTCTAAATCATTGGATCAAAAAAAATCACAAGATAAATTGGAAAATATTTTGAGCTGCACTCCAGTTTGGGTAACAGACTGAGACCTTGTTTCTAAGAAAACAAAACAAACTTCAAAAAGCTATAAAATTAAATGCCAATTTTCCCCCTTACCCAAACTCTCCGTGGCTCTCCTTTGCCCTCAGAGTCAAGCCCATGCTTCTCACTGTGGGCTCCAGGACCTAGGTGGCCTGACCAGTGCACACCCTATCACGATCTCCTCCTCTGCCCACTTGCTCACGCTGTCCAGTCACACACACTATTTTTGCAAATGCCAAGCTCCTGATCACCGCTGGGCCTTTGCCACTGCAGTTCCGCCTGCCAGGACCAGTCTTTCCCTAGACCTTCCCATTCCTGCCTCTTCCTGGCTTGGCTGCCTCTTTCTGGTGCTTCAGGTCTCAGATCAAATGTCACCTCTTCAGAGAGGACTTCATTGAAATCTCTGCCTAACACAGCCCGTATCAAGGTCAACACTTTTCTTTTTAGACTTAGGTTTTGATATAAAGAAGTTTCATAAAAATGACTTGGGCAGCTATCATCTGTTTAAAAGGTCTGACTTTGCTGAAATAATGTGGGCTTTCCTGTTCTTTGAGTTTTGATAAAACAACTGTAAAACCATCTGCCTTTTTAAAAAAAATTGAGATTGATGTATACTTTCTGTTATTACTATTTTTTTACATTCTGTCTCCCAGGCTGGAACACAGTTGCTCATAGCTCATTACAGCCTCAAATTACCTTGCCTTTGTAACAGTAGGTCCTCAGTCACCTTTCTCATCTACAGATGTTGGTTTACTTAAGCTTTCTAATTACTTGGAGGTCAGCTTAGCTCAGTGGTTAGCACAAGTAGCTAATAAATGCTCGAGTATGAGGGTGCAAAGAAAGGGGTAGGGAGGTGCAAGACTCTTGGCTTCAAATGCCCAGTCCCCTACTCATCTGCTCAGGCCCCTGTCTAGCCTCTGTATCTAAGCCAAACTACACGCCTCCTCCCCTGAGAAGCCCTCTTGGATTTCTCCTGTCCCGTCTTCCCTGCTCTATCCTCGGGTGAGTGGATCCACCCATCTGCCTCTGTGCTGGGCAGATGCCACTGCTCTCTGCTTTCTGGCTGGACAAGGCAAGGGGGCAGGTGTGTGTGTAGAAGTCCCCCTAAACCTTGGCCTTTGCCTCATGCCTGGCGCATTCAACCTTTGCTGACACCTCCACAGAAATACCAACCTCACCAACATCTGCAGAATGGGCCGCCAGGGTCTGTCTGGAGCTTGGGTGGGATTTTCACTTGACTACAAATACACACACATACACCCTAGGCTTCCAGGTCTGCATTCCTTGGCTGGCTCTTCACACTTGAGTCCAAGACAGGTCAATGGTTAGTGGCTGGATTTGCAAGCATGTGTGTTTCTGGGCAGGATATCAGCTGGGGCAGTCTGAGAGGAAGCTGTCAAGGGAAGCTAAAGAGGAGGGAGTCAGTCACGTCTCTCTTCACCTGTTGCACTCTCTAAATTTTACTGTCCACTCCTAGGCCTGATCTAGAGGGCTGTCTAGTCTAGGGGAGACAAAGTTGGATGTATCTACTGCCAGCCCCATGGGGTCAGAACTACAGGGGAAGGATGGGGACTGTGGGATTCCAGAGGAACAACAGGGAGGGCTTCTTGGAGGAATGCTTGTTCTTGAGCTGAGTTTTTTTTTTTCTCTGTAGCTCAGTCTGAAATGCAGTGGCACAATCACTGCTCACTGCAGCCTTGACCTTCCATGCTCAATTGATCCTCCTACTTCAGGGTGGGACTACAGGCACATGCCACCACACACAGCTAATTTTTGTATTTTTTGTAGAGATGGGGTTACATCATGTTGTTCAGGCTGGTCTCAAACTCCTGGGTTCAAGTAATCCTCCTGTCTTGGCCTCTCAGAGTGCTGGAATTACAGGCATGAACCACCTTATCTGACCTGAGCTGAGTTCTGAAGTGTGAATAGGATTTGGCTAGGTGAAGAAGGGAAAAAAGGACCTTCTAGACAGAAATATTTGTCAAAGATAGAGAGAAGCAGGCAGGAGTTGATTAGGGCAAGGTGTTTGAATGTCAGGCTGGATGCAGAAATTTTCTCACAAGGTCAATGTGGAACCATGGAGAATGTGTGAGCAAGGGAGGCCATGATTAGAGCTTGATCTCTCAGGGGCAGAGTGGGGGACAGCTTGGTTCTTTGGTGATGGGATCAGGAGAGTTCCAGTGTCATGGGGGGTCAGGAGAGTTAAGCCCCGCATCAACTCATCTGCACCTGTCACCTCGCACCAGAGTTGGTGGGGGACCTCCTGATGTTCTGGAGGGCCAAATAAGCCGTGGGATCCAGTGACTTACAGTGTGAGGTACAGACCAGCACAGAGAGGGTACCGCCCCAGGCTCTGCTCAGATGGACACAGCCCTGACCTCATCTCCAGCCTCCTGCCATCTCCACCCCAGCCCTGATAGTCCTGCTTTCCATGGTAGCCATGAGCTGCGTGTTAAAATGATAAATCAGCCCCATCCCTTCTCTCCTCAAAACCCTCTCATAGCTCGTCTTTGCTCTTAGACTAAAACCCAGAGCCTCCTGCAGCTCAGAAGGCCCAGTGTGGCCCAGCCTCTGTGGCCTCTTGCCCTCCCCACCCACTCCAACCTCACTGCTGTTTCTCTCCCCCTTGGGATCTTTGTACCTGCTGTTTCTTCTGCATGGAATTCACTTCCTGTCTCAGCTCTAGGACATCAGTCCAGAAAGGCCCCCAACTTCCTGCCTCTCGGGGTTCCCCTGTCACGTGACCTCTGCACTAGCCATAGTGTCCCTATAACTAAAATTGAGACAGATTGAGAAGGGGCTTAGTTGAGCCTTCTATGCCCAAGAGACTCAGGCCCAAGCTCAGCCCCAGTCCCGGCTCTCATGAGACCACATGCATAGGGGTCATTTGGGGGATTATCTTGGCACTGGGTCCTGTGGGATGGTGTCACCTCCAGCCTCCAGGGACTCATCCTAGCCATGGGAATGTGTCCAATTCCTGCCCAGGACTAAAATTAGCCCTGGAGATTACATTTAGTAAGTCAAGCTGGAGGTCAGGGGCTGGAGCCCACAGCCTGGGCTCTGCAGAGCTGTGGCGGCTCAGAGACTCAGCCCAGAGAACATGGAGGTATGCTTAGGGTCACACAGTGGGCCACAAGTGCCACCTGAGGTGTCAGATACTTGTGGGCCTGGGACACCTGGATGATGAAGGGTCCAGCATAGGCTGGAGCAGTGCCAGAGGTTGGGGTTCTGAGAATCATCTGTGGCCACTCCCAGAGAATGACCTGAATTTGCTGAGAGTTTGTTGCCAGGCCTTGTGGTGGGCACTTGGCATTTATTGCCTGCCATAGAGGTCTGTTACCTGTCCCATTCACAGAACAGCACAGAGAGGCCTAGAAATCAGCCTCCTACGCTGAGAGCCACCTCAAGGGTCATAGAAGAGGCTGGGACCCAAGCATAGGCCCATGTGACTCTGGGGAGTCACTCATCTGAAGCCTCAAGTCATCTGTGACATGGCAGAGGCTGGGAGGTGGAGTGTATTCACACGGTTGGCAGAGCAGGGATGTCCCCTGGGGTTCTCAGGGGCCTGGGATGGCATGCCTGCTGCGGAACGGGCAACATGATTTCTTCCTATGGAGGAACCTTGCATGGGGGTGCTGGAGAAAGCCTTGTCCCTGCCGTGGCCCAGCAACCTCCTGCTTCTGAGACCCCCACTGGGGGATCCAAGATTCCTTGAGGTGGGGTCCAGGGTTTCTCCTGAGTCACCAAGTGGACCCCTGGACCTAAACTCTGGTCTGAGGGCTCCAAGCCAGAGTCTTTCCAGGGAATCCCTGTACTCTCCCACTGGAACAGGGTTGGTTTCCATCATTCTCTTTTCAAAAACAGAAAAAAAAATTAGCAGAAATAATTCACTGGTGGTTGGGGGGAATTGGAAGATTCAGATAATCAAAGAGTTAAAACAGGCTGGGCGTGGTGGCTCATGCCTCTAACCCCAGCACTTTGGGAGGCTGAGGCAGGCTGATCACCTGAGGTTGGGAGTTTGAGACCAGCCTGACCAACATGTAGAAACCCAGTCTCTACTAAAAATATGTAATTAGCCAGGTGTGGTGGTGCATGCCTGTAGTCCCAACTACTTGGGAGGCTGAGGCAGCATAATTGCTTGAACCTGGGAGGTGGAGGTTGCAGTGAGCCAAGGTTGTGCCATTGAACTCCAGCCTGGGGGACAGAGCGAGACTCCATCTAAAAAAAAAAAAATTGGAAAAGTTGTTGGGAATATAATCCACACAAAAATATCCTCAATCACATTAGAGTGGCCAACATGCCAATTCAAGAAATTTAGAGTACTTTTGTGAAGTACTATACAGGACAACAATCACCAAGACACAGTTATCAGATTCTCCAAGGTCAACATGAAAATAAAAGCCTTAACAGGAGTTAGAGGAAAGGGTCAGGTCACTTTCGAAGGGAACTCTATTAGGCTAACAGTAGACCTATCAGCAGAAACCTTACAATCCTTAAAATCTTAGGAGCCTATTTTCAGCATCCTTAAAGAAAATAAATTCCAACCAATAATTTCATATCCTGCCAAACTAAGCTTCTTAAGCAAAGAAGAAATAAAATCCTTTCCTGGCAAGCAAATGCTAAGAGAATTTGTTACCATTACACTAGCCTTACAAGAGGTTCTTTAGGGAAATGAAAAATAAAACCTGCTAACATAAAACACACTTAAATACATAGCCCAAAGACCATGTAAAGCAACTACACAGTTGAATCTACGAAACAACCAGCTAACAAAACAATGACAAGATACAAATCTCACATATCGATATTAACCTTGAATGTAAATGGTCCAAACACCCTACTTAAGAGGGACAGAGTGGTAAGTTGGAAGACTCAACCATATACTGTCTTCAAGAGACCTATCTAATATGTAATGCCATCCATGGGATGAAAGGAAAGGGTTGGAGAAAGATCTCTCATACAAATGAAAAACAAAGAGACCAGAGGTTGCTATTGCTATGTCATATAAAACAGACTTTAAACCAACAACAGTAAAAAAAAAAAAGGCATTACATAATGATGAAGCATTTAGTTCAACAAGAAGACATAAAAATCCTGAAAATATAGGCATCCAACATGAGGGCACTCTGATTCATAAAACAAATACTTCTAAACCTGCAAAAAGACTTAGACAGCCACACAATAATAGTGGGGGCGAGTTACTGGGTGCAGCACACCAACATGGCACGTGTATACATATGTAACTAACCTGCACGTTGTGCACATGTACCCTAAAATTTAAAGTATAATTAAAAAAAAAATAGTGGGGGATTTGAACATCCCACTGACAGCTTTAGACAGAACAATCATTGTGATGAAAACTAACAAAGAAATTCTCTTTTTAAAAATGTATTATTATCATTATTATTATTATTATTATTATTATTATACTTTAAGTTTTAGGGTACATGTGCACAACGTGCAGGCTTGTTACATATGTATACATGTGGCATGTTGGTGTGCTGCACCCATTAACTTGTGATTTAGCATTAGGTATATCTCCTAATGCTATCCCTCCCCACTCCCCCCACCCCACAACAGTCCCTGGTGTGTGATGTTCCCCTTCCTGTGTCCATGTGTTCTCATTGTTCAATTCCCACCTATGAGTGAGAACATGTGGTGTTTGGTTTTTTGTCCTTACGATAGTTTGCTGAGAATGATGGTTTCCAGCTTCATCCATGTCCCTATAAAGGACATGAACTCATCCTTTTTTATGGCTGCATAGTATTCCATGGTGTATATGTGCCACATTTCCTTCATCCAGTCTATCATTGTTGGACATTTGGGTTGGTTCCAAGTCTTTGCTATTGTGAATACTGCCACAATTAACATACGTGTGCATGTGTCTTTATAGCAGCATGATTTATAATCCTTTGGGTATATATCCAGTAATGGGATGGCTGGGTCAAATGGTATTTCTAGTTCTAGATCCCTGAGGAATGGCCACACTGACTTCCACCATGGTTGAACTAGTTTACAGTCCCACCAACAGTGTAAAAGTGTTCCTATTTCTCCACATCCTCTCCAGCACCTGTTCTTTCCTGACTTTTTAATGATCGCCATTCTAAGTGGTGTGAGATGGTATCTCATTGTGGTTTTGATTTGCATTTCTCTGATGGCCGGTGATGATGAGCATTTTTTCATGTGTTTTTTGGCTGCATAAATGTCTTCTTTTGAGAAGTGTCTGTTCATGTCCTTCGCCCACTTGTTGATGGGGTTGTTTGTTTTTTCTTGTAAATTTGTTGGAGTTCATTGTAGATTCTGGATATTAGCCTTTTGTCAGATGAGTAGGTTGCAAAAATTTTCTCCCATTCTGTAGGTTGCTTGTTCACTCTGATGGTGGTTTCTTTTGCTGTGCAGAAGTTCTTTAGTTTAATTAGATCCCATTTGTCAATTTTGGCTTTTGTTGCCATTGCTTTTGGTGTTTTAGACATGAAGTCCTTGCCCATGCCTATGTCCTGAATGGTATTGCCTAGGTTTTCTTCTAGGGTTTTTATGGTTTTAGGTCTAATATGTAAGTCTTTAATCCATCTTGAACTAATTTTTGTATAAGGTGTAAGGAAGGGATCCAGTTTCAGCTTTCTACATATGGCTAGCCAGTTTTCTCTGCACCATTTATTAAATAGGGAATCCTTTCCCCGTTGCTTTTGTCAGGTTTGTCAAAGATCAGATGGTTGTAGATATGCGGCATTAATTCTGAGGGCTCTGTTCTGTTCCATTGGATTATATCTCTGTTTTGGTACCAGTACCATGCTGTTTTGGTTACTGTAGCCTTGTAGTATAGTTTGAAGTCAGGTAGCGTGATGCTTCCAGCTTTGTTCTTTTGGCTTAAGATTGACTTGGCAATGCAGGCTCTTCTTTGGTTCCATATGAACTTTAAAGTAGTTTTTTCCAATTCTGTGAAGAAAGTCATTGGTAGCTTGATGGGGATGGCATTGAATCTATAAATTACCTTGGGCAGTATGGCCATTTTCACGATATTGATTCTTCCTACCCATGAGCATGGAATGTTCTTCCATTTGTTTGTATCCTCTTTTATTTCATTGAGCAGTAGTTCATAGTTCTCCTTGAAGAGGTCCTTCACATCCCTTGTAAGTTGGATTCCTAGGTATTTATTCTCTTTGAAGCAATTGTGAATGGGAGTTCACTCATGATTTGCCTCACTGTTTGTCTGTTATTGGTGTATAAGAATGCTTGTGATTTTTGCACATTGATTTTGTATCCTGAGACTTTGCTGAAGTTGCTTATCAGTTTAAGGAGATTTTGGGCTGAGACAATGGGGTTTTCTAGATATATAATCATGTCATCTGCAAACAGGGACAATTTGACTTCCTCTTTTCCTAATTGAGTGCCCTTTATTTCTTTCTCCTGCCTGATTGCCCTGGCCAGAACTTGCAACACTATGTTGAATAAGAGTGGTGAGAGAGGGCATCCCTGTCTTGTGCCAGTTTTCAAAGGGAATGCTTCCAGTTTTTGTCCATTCAGTATGATATTGGCTGTGGGTTTGTCATAGACAGCTCTTATTATTTTGAGATACGTCCCATCAATAACTAATTTATTGAGAGTTTTTAGCATGAAACGTTGTTGAATTTTGTCAAAGGCCTTTTCTGCATCTATTGAGATAATCATGTGGTTTTTTCATTGGTTCTGTATATATGCTGGATTATGTGTGTTGATTTGCTTACGCTGAACCAGCCTTGCATCCCAGGGATGAAGCCAACTTGATCTTGGTGGATAAGCTTTTTGATGTGATGCTGGATTTGGTTTGCCAGTATTTTATTGAGGATTTTTGCATCGATGTTCATCAGGGATATTGGTCTAAAATTCTCTTTTTTTGTTGTGTCTCTGTCAGGCTTTGGTATCAGGATGATGCTGGCCTCATAAAATGAGTTAGGGAGGATTCCCTCTTTTTCTATTGATTGGAATAGTTTCAGAAGGAATGGTACCAGCTCCTCTTTGTACCTCTAGTAAAATTTGGCTGTGAATCCATCTGGTCCTGGACATTTTTTGGTTGGTAGGCTATTAATTATTGCCTCAATTTCAGAGCCTGTTATTGGTCTATTCAAGGATTCAAGTTCTTCCTTGTTTAGTCTTGTGAGGGTGTATGTGTCGAGGAATTTATCCATTTCTTCTAAATTTTCTAGTTTATTGCATAGAGGTGTTTATAGTATTCTCTGATGGTAGTTTGTATCTCTGTGGGATCGGTGGTGATATCCCCTTTATCATTTTTTATTGTGTTTATTTGATTCTTCTCTCTTTCCTTCTTTATTAGTGTTGCTAGTGGTCTATCTATTTTGTCGATCTTTGCAAAAAACCAGCTCCTGGATTCATTGATTTTTTGAAGGCTTTTTTTGCCTCTATTTCCTTCAGTTCTGCTCTGATCTTAGTTATTTCTTGCCTTCTGCTAGCTTTTGAATGTGTTTGCTCTTGCTTCTCTAGTTCTTTTAATTGTGATGTTAGGGTATCGATTTTAGATCTTTCCTGATCTCTCTTGTGGGCATTTAGTGCTATAAATTTCCCTCTACACACTGCTCTATATGTGTCCCAGAGATTCTGGTATGTTGTGTCTTTGTTCTCTTTGGTTTCAAAGAACATCTTTATTTCTGCCTTCATTTCATTATGTACCCAGTAGTCATTCAGGAGCATGTTGTTCAGTTTCCATGTAGTTGGGCAGTTTTGAGTGAGTTTCTTAATCCTGAGTTCTAATTTGATTGCACTGTTGTCTGAGAGACAGTTTGTTGTGATTTCTGTTCTTTTACATTTGTGAGTAGTGCTTTACTTCCAACTATGTGGTCAATTTAAGTATAAGTGAGATGGGGTGCTGAGAAGAATGTATATTCTGTTGATTTGGGGTACAGAGTTCTATAGATGTCTCTTAGGTCCACTTGGTGCAGAGCTGAGTTCAAATCATGGATATCCTTGTTAACTTTCTGTCTCGTTGATCTGTCTAATGTTGACAATGGGGTGTTAAAGTCACCCATTATTATTGTGTGGGAGTCTAAGTCTCTTTGCACATCTCTAAGGATTGGCTTTGTGAATCTGTGTGCTCCTGTATTGGGTGCATATATATTTAGGATAGTTAGCTCTTCTTGTTGAATTGATCCCTTTACCATTATGTAATGGCCTTCTATGTCTCTTTTGATCTTTGTTGGCTTAAAGTCTGTTTCTCCTGAGACTAGGATTGCAACCCCTGCTTTTTTTTGTTTTCCATTTGCTTGGTAGATCTTCCTCCATCCCTTTATTTTGAACCTATATGTGTCTCTGCATGTCAGATGGGTCTCCTGAATACAGCACACTGATGGGTCTTGACTCTTTATCCAATTTGCCAGTCTGTGTCTTTTAATTGGAACATTTAGCCCATTTACATTTAAGGTTAATATTGTTATATGTGAACTTGATCCTGTCATTATGATGTTAGCTGGTTATTTTGCCCATTAGTTGATTCAGTTTCTTCCTAGCATCGATGGTCTTTACAATTTGGCATGTTTTTGCAGTGGCTGGTACTGGTTGTTCTTTCCATGTTTACTGCTTCCTTCAGGAGCTCTTGTAGGGCAGGCCTGGTGGTGACAAAATCTCTCAGCATTTGCTTGTCTATAAAGGATTTTCTTTCTCCTTCACTTATGAAGCTTAGTTTGGCTGGATATGAAGTTCTGTGTTGAAAATTCTTTTCATTAAGAATGTTGAATATTGGCCCCCACTCTCTTCTGGCTTGTAGAGTTTGTGCTCAGAGATCTGCTGTTAGTCGGATGGGCTTCCCTTTGTGGGTAACCCGACCTTTCCCTCTGGCTGCCCTTAACCTTTTTTCCTTCATTTCAACCTTGGTGAATCTGACAATTCTGTGTCTCAGGGTTGCTCTTCTCATAGAGTATCTTTGTGGTGTTCTCTGTATTTCCCGAATTTGAATGTTGGCCTGCCTTGCTAAGTTGTGGAAGTTTTCCTGGATAATATCCTGAAGAGTGTTTTCCAACTTAGTTCCGTTCTCCCTGTCAATTTCAGGTACACCAATCATAAGTAGATTTGGTCTTTTCACATAGCCCCATATTTCTTGGAGGCTTTGTCCATTTCTTTTTACTCTTTTTCCTCTAAACTTCTCTTCTCACTTCATTTCATTCATTTGACCTTCAATCACTGATCCCCTTTCTTCCACTTGATCAAATCGGCTACTGAAGCTTGTGCATGCATCACGTAGTTCTTGTGCCATTGTTTTCACCTCCATTTGGTCATTTAAGGTCTTCTCTATGCCGTTTATTACAGTTAGCCATTCATCTAATCTTTTTTCAAGGTTTTTAGCTTCCTTGCGATGGGTTCGAACATCCTCCTTTAGCTTGGAGAAGTTTTTTATTACCAACCTTCTGAAGCCTACTTCTGTCAACTCATCAAAGTCATTCTCCATCCAGCTTTGTTCCATTGCTGTGGAGGAGCTGTGACACTTTGGAGGAGAAGAGGTGCAGTGGTTTTTAGACTTTTCAGCTTCTCTGCTCTAGTTTCTCTCCATCTTTGTCATTTTATCTCCCTTTGGTCTTTGATGATGGTGACCTACAGATGGGGTTTTGGTGTGGATGTCCTTTTTGTTGATGTTGATGCTATTGCTTTTGTTTGTTAGTTTTCCTTCTAACAGATTCCTCAGCTGCAGGTCCGTTGGAGTTTGCTGGAGGTCCACTCCAGACGCTGTTTGCCTGGGTATCACTGGCAGAGGCTTCAGAACAGCAAATATTGCAGAACAGCAAATGTTGCTGCCTGATCCTTCCTCTGGAAGCTCTGTCTCAGAGGGGCACCTGGCTGTATGAGGTGTCAGTTGACCCCTACTGGGAGGTGTCTCTCAGTTAGGCTACTTGGGGGTCAGGGACACACTTGAGGAGGCAGTCTGTCCATTCTCAGAGCTTAAACTCCATTCTGTGGGAACCACTGCTCTCTTCAGAGCTGTCAGACAGGGAAGTTTAAGGCTGTAGAAACTTCTGCTGTAGAAGGTTTCTGCTGCCTTTTGTTCAGCTATGCCCTGCCCCTAGAGGTGGAGTCTACAGAGGCAGGTAGTCCTCGTTGAGTTGTGGTGGGCTCCACCCAGTTCAAGCTTCCCAGTGGCTTTGTTTACCTAGTCAAGCCTCAGCAATGGCGGATGCCCCTCCCCCAGCCTGTCTGCTGCCTCCCAGTTCGATCTCAGACCACTGAGCTAGCAGTGAGCAAGGCTCCATGGGCGTGTGATCCTCCGAGCCAGGTGCGGGATATAATCTCCTGGTGTGCCATTTGCCAAGACTGTTGGAAAAGCACAGTATTAGGGTGGAAGTGTCCCAATTTTCCAGGTACCATCTGTCATGGCTTCCCCTGGCTAGGAAAGGGAAATCCCCCAACCCCTTGTACTTCCTGGATGAGGTGATGCCCCACCCTGCTTCAGCTCACCCTCTCCGTGGGCTACATCCACTGTCCAACCAGTTCCAGGTACTTCAGTTGGAAATGCAGAAATCATCTGTCTTCTGTGTTGATAGTGCTGGAAGCTGTAGACCAGAGCTGTTCCTATTTGGCCATCTTGGTGCCTCCCCATGTTTTTTTTTTTTTTTTTTTTCTGATTTCAACTTGACAGCAGAACTCAACCATGCTGATGGTGCAGACACATGTTGGTGGGAACTTTTCATTGTTTGATTCTGACATTTATGATAAATGGATTCACTTACTAAAGTTTTGTAGAGAGAGTAATAACCATGTAATAACCTAGATCATATTTCCTTTATAAAATCAAACATACCTGGTGGTTTTAGAGCAATATTTTTTACCTCAGTCACTTGTGTTTATTAGACAAGAATACTAAGTGTCAAGATGTTTGCATTGCCTTTCATATTTTTATTTAGGGGACAGTGTAATGATAAATGACTTTGAATATATAACCAGACACACCTTCATCCCCCCCCAAATCTGTGCTAATTTACTGTTTTTTATATTTCATGCATGAAGCTAAATTGTTTTTACCCATGGATTAAAGCAAAATGATACAATGATACCTGAATCCTTGCCAAATAACATGAAATGGCAACTGCAAAATTGTTCTGCAAAATTTTACAAGGTATTATGGTATTGAGGATATCCCAAGAAAACTTGAGAGGCATTATATTTCTCATTGGAGACTGACATTCCTGTATCAAGTAAAGTCTCAGGAAAAAGAACCAGGTGTGACTATTTTAATGCAACCTCTTGGTTGAAATAAAATGATTAAAAGTAGTGTTTATCTTGTTGATAACTGAGAGGCAAATATTAAAAATTTTGCTCTGAGATGAAGAGAGTTCACATGATAAGTCTCTGGGATGTGAACTAAACTGGGAAAGCACCAGGACCATTTCTAAGACATACAGTTAATTTGGGTTTGGATAAACAGAATAATGTTCCCCACTCCCTAAAAAAGATATTTACATCCAAGTTCTTAGATACTGGAAATACATTACAATTTATGGCAAAGAGAATATAAGGTTGCAAATGGGATCAAAATTGCCGATATGCTGATGAAAAATAAGAAGACTATTATGAATTATCATGGTGGGCCCAGTAGAATCATAAGCATCAAAAACCATGGAAGAGTGAAGAATAAACCATATCAAAGTGATAGATCATGAGAAAGACTCAATTGGATATATTTTTAATTGTTTGCTTTAGTGAGTCTTTCCACTTTAGCATATATTTTATTCAATTCAACTGTGCAAATGTGATTCATTTTATATGCCTGTCACTGAATTGGGTGCTAAAAATAAAATGAGAGAACAAAAAATAACAAAAATTGATTTCTAAAGATGGAGGGCAAAGGGCATTAGGAATATAGATAGTGTGCACCCTATACAGGCATGATTGTAAATGTATTCATTATATATAGAAAGTAATAATTATATATATATAAAATTATTTGGCTTAGAAAAGAGTGCAGGGGGTACATTATCAATAATTTAGCGTCAAGGTTAATCAAGAATAAGTGAGTAAAATAAAAATAATAATGATGGTAATAATTTCAAACACTGAAGAAAGAACATTGATGATATGAAGTCATTTTTTTTCAGATCTACAAAATATGTTTCTTCTATGCCATTAGGATGAACACAGTTTTCACTTATGTTATCTTTTAAAAATGCCTTTAGTCGTCAAGCTAGCATTAGAATCTCAGCCAACATCTTCCATCTTCTCTTCCACATTTTTACATTCTTTCAGGATCACAGGCCTAAGACCCATGATCTGGTCACCTGTCATTTGACCTTTGTCCACCTAGTAATGCTCTTCACTGCAATGGAGTTTTTGTCTCCAGACATGTTTGAGCCACTGAATTTTCAGAATAACTTTAGATGTAAAGCTTTCTTTCCTTCTTTTTTTTTTTTTGGAGACGGAGTCTCACTCTGTTGCCCAGGCTGGAGTGCAGTGGTGCGATCTCAGCTCACTGCAAGCTCCACCTCCCAGGTTCACGCCATTCTCCTGCCTCAGCCTCCCAAGTGGCTGGGACTACAGGCCACCACGCCTGGCTAATTTTTTTTTGTATTTTTCAGTAGAGACGGGGTTTCACCGTGTTAGCCAGGATGGTCTCGATCTCCTGACCTCGTGATCCACCTGCCTCGGCCTCCCAAAGTGCTGGGATTACAGGCGTGAGCCACCGCGCCCGGCCTAAAGCTTTCTTCTATTTGCATATTCATTAAATAGCTATTTCATCCATGAGATAGCACTTGGATGAATGAAGCCAATGTATTGATATTCAAGTTTATCTAGTTTTTATAACAAAAATCAACAAAAGATATGTCTTATGCCTAATAGTAACAAAGAGAAGTAATTAGTCAATGTGGTTTATCCCAATTCTAGCTTTCTTTGCTTCATCCAGTAGTTCCTGGAGCTGCCAAAATCAAATCCTTTTTGTGTAAACATGCTAAATGCATCTGAAGTGAGTTGACTCAGGTTTCCTCAGCAGAAACCCCAAAATTACATAAATAACTTCTTCTTTTCCCTCCTTCCTGCCTCAAAATCCCTCTTGCTTGAGGAAAATAATTGCTACATCAGTGATCTCATTGGTTCTCGTTCCACAATTTTACTGGTTATTACAATAACTTTTCCGTCTGTTTTTAGCAATACGATGTGACGTCTGTAAAATCTATACTTCAACTCATTCTCCTTCCACCCTTGGTGAAAACGTGCTGTAGAATTAAAGCAAAATTATGCTGTCCCCTGATCCTGGGCGACAGAGTGAGACTCTGTCTCAAAAAAAAAAATAAAAATAAAAAATAAAAAATAAATCATCGCATTTATAGCTACAATTATTTATAATAAATCTTGAAATATTTTATTTTAGTTCAAAGGCCTTATGAAAACAATGTTATTCTATAATATATACTTAATGATATTGTAAGTATTTTGTTCCTAGTGACATAGTTCAGCATATTTTCCCCTATTTCATGTTAATTACGTTTCAAATGTTATGGAAAAGAAATAAAAGTTATCCCAATAGTAAATAATCTCAAGATTTTCTAAAAAGAGCTTTATAAATTTAATTTTCTTGACTTTTGGTGTCTTGAAATAGAAGATTATTTTTGTATGTATGTATCTACCTCACAGAAGTTATTGATTTGGTGGAAGAGCACTAGGAGTAGAGTCAGAAAAGCTGGGAAAAATCCTGCAGCTTCCTTATATTTTTAACCTTTTGCTATAGAATTATAACTAAATGAGTTCATTGATTTGTGTGTGTAAAAGTGCTTAGTACAATGCCTAGACTTATCATTTATCAATAAATATCATTCTTAAAACTGACCATAAAAATATTAGAAAAGTAGAATATCTAGACAATATTTTAGAAAAAGGGAGCTTAAAGAATTTGGAAAATGTCATTCATCTGTCCAAATGTCTGCCAAGCTAAGGCTCTCACTACAGGGAGAGGTATAGTTTAGATGTTAGAGTGTAAACCCAATTTTTTAATGTGGTCATAGTTATTAATTCTTTATGCCTTGCAATTTGTTGTAATTCAGTAAAAGCCTTTTTTCATCCTGAAATTTAAAAAAATTATCTAGTGGTTTCTTTTTTGCTTTCATGGATTCACTGTCTTCAAATAAACTTTTGAACTTTGGGGAATTTATGCCATATGAGGTTTGAGGTTTTGACTCAACTTTTTTCCCATTTAGATATACAGTTATGGCAACCTCTCATTGTATAAATGTACGGGTTATTATTTAATTTCAGAAACAATCACAATATGTTATCCTATTGGATACTAGTTACAAGTTTTCTTTGTTTTATTTAGATTTCTGAAACTGATGAAAAAGAAGACCTGCTGCATGAAAACTGCTTGATGCAAGATGAAATTGCCTGGCTCAGGCTGGAAAAAGACACAATAAGAAACCAAAACCTGGAAAATAAATACTTAAAAGAATTTGAAATTGTGAAAAGAAAGCGTGAAGACCTTCAAAAGGCTCTAAAACGGAATGGGGAAACATTAGCAAAAACGATAGCCTGTTACAGTGGACAGCTTGCTGCTCTGACAGATGAAAACACAACGCTGCATTCCAAACTGGAGAAGCAAAGAGAGAGTAGGCAAAGACTGGAAACAGAAATGCAATCATGTGGTTGTAGACTGAATGCTGCTCTATGTGATCATGATCAAAGTCACTCATCAGAAAAAGATCAAGAGCTTGCTTTCCAGGGCACAGTAGATAAATGGTGTCATTTACAGGAAAATTTGAATTTTTGTATTCTGATTCTTTCTCTGCAACTTTCCAAAGCTGAGAGTAAGTCCAGAGTCCTCGAAACTGAGCTCCATTACACAAGAGAGGCTCTGAAAGAAAAGGCTTTGGTTTTTGAACACGTGCAAAGTGAGCTAAAGCAAAAACAGAGTTGAATGAAGGACACTGAAAAAATGTACAAAAGTGGATACAGTACAATGGAAAAATGCATAGAAAAGCAGGAAAGATTTTGTCAACTAAACAAAATATGTTGCTTCAACAGCAACTGGATGATGCTCGCAACAAAGCTGACAATCAAGAAAAAGCAATACTTAATATTCAAGCCAGATGTGATGCTAGAGTAGAAAGCCTTCAAGCTGAGTGCAGAAAGCACCGTCTTTTACTAGAAGAAGACAGTAAAAGGATGGTCAATGGATTGAATCATTTGAAAGAAAAAGAACCCCAATATGAAAAAGAGAAAGCAGAAAGAGAAGTAAGTATCAAGAAAAATAAGTATTTTTCAAACTTCCTGAAGCAAAATTTAAAGTAATATTTGGTTACAGCTGAATATTGGATCTAGTTGAATATAAAAAAGGATACATATGATAAATATATCTGCTTAGAAACATTCCTTGTTTCCAACAAGTCAAAGTTAGATCTGAGAGATGTTTTCCTCTGATTAAAGTCAATGTGTCACTTATAAAATTTTAAGTTATAAAATGTTAATATAGACTAATAGTAATAATATAGTCATACTACTGAAATAATAATTTTAATGTATTTATGTTGCAACATTTTAAGACCATGATAAATCAGATATATGGAAATGCTCATACCTAAAATGGTATTTTGAAGTTGATTCAATAAAGTGGGGTACTTTGACAGTTAATTTCAGATTTCCTAGATGAGCTGAAGTGTATTCCCTATTTCATAATTACTTTTCTTCAGTAGCTTTAAATATGTCTTAGTTGGTAAAATTTTGTTTTTCTTCATGTCAGTTTGACTTAAATCTGAAACTATTTCAATCTCAAGTTATGTATAGATATGATCATTCTATTTTCAAAGGCATTTAATTTTACTTATAATATGGGGAAAATGCAGTAAATTTTAGCCAAATCATATTTGATTTAATCTTCCCACTGGCATTTATAATTTACTTTCATTTTTAAATAAAAAATTTGCTCCTAATTTTTATTTCAAGGCTCAATTACTATCATTTGGATATAACTTTGTCCAGGACAAAAAGAGGCATAGCTATCTGTGATTTATTAGTTTGACACTGGATCCCCATTTTCAGACTAAGGAGGATTTCAGACTAACGAGTGGCAGGACTCACATAGAGTAGGAATGGAGTGAGTAGGGAGGAGAGATATAGCAGCTGAGTCAGGGTGGGAGGTGGAGGGCAGGTTACTTAGAGCATCTAAGGCCACTGTAATTTTACTTTTCTTCTGAGATAGACATCTATTGGAAGGATTTAAGCAGATGATTTAACGTGAGGAACTCTGAGGTTGATTTGAGTTTCTAATAAAAAGAAAGAGGGAAATCATTCCACAATGTATAATTTACTACCATCGGTCTCACCCACATACTCATTTATTTTTGAGACTTCAGGTTTTTAAGCATTGCAGATTCATCAGGGGAGGAATGACTAGTGGGCTGAATATGTTGTGTGAATAACAATACCAGTTTGGCAGGAAGATAACACCTTCTGTATCCTTAACTGGATTCAGTAATACACAGGAATGTGTACACATGAGGAAAAGAAGGTGAATCGATCTGTGTGGTGATATTTTTTAAAGTATATGCTTTAGAGTTAAATATTATTAATGGTTTAATAATAAGGTGATTTGTAAAATCAGTAACAAAAATAACATCAGGTAGCTGTGAGACAGCTTCAATGAAAACGAGATGATGTCTTAAACAAACAATCAGCAACAAAAGCTTTGCTGGATGCTTCATCGCGTCACTGCATCTATTTAGAAAATGAGATGCAGGATTCAAGGAAGAAATTAGACCAGATGAGAAGTCAAGTATGTATGAAACTTTGCATGCCAACAACTGTTCATCTGTAGCTAGCTAACTAATATAAAGTGTTTTGGGGTACTAATTTTAGTGGATGGCTTTCTTTTGTATTTTTATTATAATTAATTTTATTAAAATTTTATAGTGGATGGCTTTCTTTTGTATTTTCCTTATTATTAATTTTATTAAAATTTTATTATAACGCACCTATATCTTAATCTCTTTTATTCTGCCATTTTTTTATGCATATTTTTTCTTAAATATTTAACCTTAGGAAAGTTGAGAATTATGCATCATTTCTCACAGAAGTTGAGAGAGTTTTTTTTCCTGTTAAACAGTCTATTTTTAATGATTTCTCTGTTGGCATGGTGAGGCAAGCCAGATTAATTCAGAGGACAATGTCTAATGGAATGTTTCAGAAAATTATCTTATTTTTAGTTTCTACTTTTCTGAATGTATAAAGAACCTGTGTGTACTTATTTCATAGATTTCAGGTTAACTTGTTCAGAAAGGCCATTTTACTGAATAAATTTTTATTTTGATGAAAATCCTTACTCTCTATTGGGCTCAGAGAGCACATTTTGTCTCTATATGAATATGGACAGTTAGCATTTGCCAACATGTATCTATTTTCTCTTATTTATAGAAAAAGCTAAACTAAAAAAGGGGTTATAGAAGGTCAGCAAAGGATGAGTTTGAGATGTTCGGGTTGGTTAAGTGGGCATTTAGACAACAAGGTTTCTCCTTTGACATGTTTAATGGACATCTTTGCAGTTTAAGATGACGCTTTTAAATTACTTCTCTCCTAATGATGACTTGAGTCCTGCTATTCAATGGGAGAGTCAATAAGATCCTGTAGGATCTTATTTGGAACTGACTTTGTCGATTTTAATTTTGTTCCTGCTTGTTTTTAAATTTTCTTGTTGTTTCTCTAGAAAGGAAAGATGACGCTTAGTTTTAAATATTTAAAAATGTGCAAGTTGCTTTGCTATAATAAAACTAAATGCATACATACAAAAAATAAAATTATAGTTGATGTGGTAGTGTTTGGAATTCAAAATATAAATGCTTAGCATGAGGTAATCCTTTATCTTTCCACATTTTACCAGTTTGCAAGTTTGAGTATTTAACTGATAAAATGTAATTCAAAAGCAAGAAGAATGTTGTGTTTTAGTTCTAGAGCAGGGGTCTGTGAACTTTTCTGTAAAGGGCCAGATAGTATTACTTAAGACTTTGTGAGCCATAATATCATTGTTGCAATAACTCAAGCCCTGCAGTTATAGCACAAAAGTAGCCACGAACAATATGCAGATTGAAGGGATGTGGCAGTGTCCCACTAAAATTAATTACAAAAAACAGGTAATGGGATGATTTATCCTAGATTCTGACCTTTTTTAAATAAAAAAGATTGTGATAGTCTAAAATATTTTATATATATTTTGTTGATTCATTCATCTACTGATGGACATTTAGGTCATTTCCAAATGTAATTTTTTTTAATTCTTTGTTTTAGTTTCAAGAAATACAGGATCAACTTACAGCTACTATAAGATGTACTAAGGAGATGGAAGGTGACGCACAAAAGTAAAATTTGAAGCAGCACACAAAATAACTTGAGTATTTATAAAGCAAGAGAGCACTGTAGTATGAAAATTGTATCAGTTATGATAATAAGTATGTCTTTGTGAAGCCAAAAAAGTTTCATCTGTAAGCTATATTGACATACATCATTTTTCTTCATTATTCCTAAATTTTGCATATTATCAACAAAACACAGGTAGAAAAATGACACAGTAGCCCAGTCATCTACTTTTGCGATTGCTAAGAATTTGTGTAATTATACCTTCAGAAGTTTGTTTAGAATTTACATGTTTTAAAAACAATTATATGTGAGAGTAATTATTTTAAAATGCACATTTTAGGCTTGAAGTAGAAAATGCCATGATGAGAAAAACGATTAAAAAACAGGATGACCAAATTGAGCGGCTTGAGAAAATCCTGCAGCGTTCAAGTTTGGTAAGCTGATCTCTTAATTTCTGTCATACTGAAAAGGAATTTTATTTTTCCAGTAGGACGGGTTAAATGTCCCTTGTCCAAAATGCTTGGGACCAAAAGTAGATTTTTTTCAGATTTTGGAATATTTGTATATACCTAATGAAATATCTTGGGGATGGTACCTGAGTCTAAACATGAAATTCATTTATGTTTCATATATACCTTATGCACATAGCCTGAAGCTAATTCTCTACAATGTTTTACAGTAATTTTTTGCAGGTAACAAAGTTTTTACTGTTTTCCCCAGAGCCTGTCACATGAGGTCAGGTGTGGAACGTTGTGTTGCAGTTGTGGTGTCATGTCCGTGCTCAAAAAGTTTCAGGTTGTAGAGCATTTTGGATTTCAGATTTTTAGATTAGGGATGATCAATCTACAGTACAGATGCTCCTTGACTTGCAGTGGGTTTACATGATAATGTCTCTTGTTTGACTGAAACATTATAAGTAATATTTGATTTATTTCAGATGCTGCCAGGTGTTCAAGAGCTAGATGAAGGTATGTTGCCAAAATTTATGAATTAAATTCAAATCACTGATTTCTGAAATAAACTGTAAGTAGTGAACGGTATTCCTCTCAATTGCTTGGTTAATACATGCTACATTAAATATTTTTTCTTACACACATCTAGTGAAAGATGTGAAAACATAATCATTCATAGTGAAGGGTATACTTATGCTTTGTTACTTCATCATGTTCCATAGCTTTAAAAAAATCACAAGAAGTCTGTGTATCTCTTTTTTTCTGGCCCTACACTTTTCTTCTGCCACCCCTATAGAACTGTCAGCCTGCACACTGAAACTGTTCTCAGAAAACAAAGGCATCATCAACTTCTCAAGGTTAAGGTAGTGATTTAAGGCTAACAGACCCCACACTCATGTGATAATAATTAGTTAAGCAATTACAGGTCACAAGCAGTCACCTGACCAGTGACATTTTAAATCTCTAGTCATTGACTTTGTCATTGGTTTCCTTTTGCACCTGGGAAAAGTTGAAAATTCCTTAGCATGGAATCAAAACTCTCACATCAGTGTGGTTCTTGTCAGGTTATTCAGCCTTATCTTTCTCCACTTACCATACTCTGCACCTTTGTTCTAGCATCCAGCCAAACTAGACTACACAGAGCTCCACAGTGATCGTCCTCACCTCCAGCTCTTCGCATTTACTTCTTCCCTCTATCCTACATGTGTTTTCCTTCCCCTTCAGATATCAACCTATGAATTGCCTCTACCAAAAAGCCTACAATATTAACACAAACCTGGGCTAGTATCCCTTCTATGTCTTCCAGTAAGTGGTGTCTTATGCCTGTCATTGTATGTATGACTCTGTATGGGAATTGCCTGCTTGTTTTTTCGGATTATAGCATACAGTTGTTGAGGGGTGGACCGTATCATCTTTTTCTTGTTAATCCAGTGCTTGTCCTAGTACCTTAGCACATGGTTGCTGAATACATGAATGAAGAGTGAGAAACCAGAAGCTCTGATACTTAACTGCCATGATAATGAAATCAGTGTGCAACTATGGGCAAATTATATTTAATAGTAATTGCATATTGTACATATTTTTCATTCTTATTAACACTTATAAACTTTTCAACTTATACTGACTTTCTCTCAGTTAACTGTGAAATCATTTAGATAAAGAATATAATTCTTTTTCATTCTAACTTCTGAATTTAAATCTGAATCCTCTATAGCAGGGGTCCCCAACCCCCAGGCCACAGTCAGGTCCATGGAGTATACAGTTTAAGACCTCTGCTGTACAGCTATACCTCCATGCTTGCTTTCAGTGGCCATGACACTTTATTCAAATATGTAAGTTTTATTAAGACTGAGTTCTTAAAAAGAAAAAACCAAGAACCTTAGATACAACTAGTGAAGTATTGAGACCTGTCCATATTTAAAACCAAGCACACGATACCACTTAAAAGGTTCCCCAGAAAGCCTCTATCCTGAAATGCTTGAAAGTGAGCAGTGCTGACTCTCGATTATCACCAATTGCATTAAATATGACACTTGTTTTGTTTCTTTTGGCTATAAGGAGAAAATGTCATTTTGTATACGAGTGAGCACAGAGGAGAGAGAATGCGGGAAAGAACAGAATGGGCCAATAATTTTTTACTAAATACTCCAGTTCTCAGCTTTTTAAATCAACAGACAAAATGAATCACCTAAACCTAAAATCTTTGTGAATAGTATAAATTGTCTTTTAAATTAAATGCATATATTTTTATGTTTTACTTTTTCAAGACAAAAGCGGGATATTAGTACAATATAAGATTTATAGAGGAGCAAATTTCTTGAGATAGGAAACCCTTAAAAGCAGTATTTAAAGTGCTTAAATACTGTCACATATGTTTAATAATCATAATACTTAATTGTGAGAACTAGGAGCTCATGTTACTACTAAAACCAAATAAAAATTCAATACATATTTGTTAACTCAATTTAAGGATGTTTACCTTAATACTGACAAACTATGGATGGTAACACTGACCACACTGAGAACAGGCAAGTAATCCTCCTTCTGCTCCTTGGCCAAAACTGCCACAAACTACACACATATCCTGAAGTTAAGAAAACAGAACATATTTTAAATGGAGACTAAGCTAAAAACCTACAAATTTTACTTTAAAAATACCTTCTTAACTAATATAGCTCTATAGCTAAATATTGGATCACTTCTGTGTAGATGAGATAAAGCAGAAATGTGCAAGGAGGAATTC